>NC_000007.14:97658294-97961324 GCF_000001405.40 Homo sapiens
TTATTAACATACTGACATTTTCACTACTGTTTATATTTGAATAACTATTGATAAATTTTCACAATTATAAGTGAAAATTAATAAATATAAATGATAAAAAATAAACATGAGTTTGAATTCTTAGTCTTTATAACAAGCATCGTGATCTGGAGCAAGTTATCTAATTTCTGTCTTATCACCTGTAAAATGAAGATGATGAAGCTTACCTTACACAGTAGTTAGCAAGATTAGAGTGCTACATGAAGAACACCTGATCATAAGATTCTTAGTCATAAGAAATTAACCAATTCTAACTAATTTAAGCAGGAATATAATGCGTTAAATGTTTTTAAGTAGCTGTATGAGCTATGGGAGGAACAGAGCAACAAGCTTAGAGGCTACAGAGCCAGAACCAGTGCTCTAAATCAGATGGAGAACAGTAGGAGATTGCATTTTGGAGACAGCATTGCCATTCCCACTTAGCATGGGCACAGTGGTTTGCACTGACAACATCAATACCACCAGGCACAGGATGTTGCCATTAAAACCTCTGCCACTGCTACTTCTGGAAATTGGGTATATCACCTGTCAACCAAGTCAGAATGAATTTTGTATGGCACTTGTTTCTTACAGTCAGCTACAAAGATTGGCATGGGTGTGTCCAATTGAAAGAGTCTGGATCACAAATTTGCCCTTAGCCACAGCGAAATTCGAAAAGTGAATTTCTGACTTCCGTAGTGAGAGGTCTATTTATTAGGTAGAAATTCCCCCAAACATAAGAAGGATAAACAAGGGAGAAGCCAAAGAGAATGAAAAATATCCATTACAGTCCATTGTTTTGGCATCTTAACCTTCTTATGTATTATTCCCTCTTATATAAACTTTCAAGCAACTGTACTCATTATTGTATCCAACTCCATGTCCAGGATCTCTGGGGTATGTTTATTCCTCCTTCACTTCACAATCCCACCTTGAATAATATGTAGCCTATAAATTTTAAAAATTGTCATCAGCATACTCTACACAAAATTATAGGGTCAAAAAGAGTGTAAAAAAGGAAAATAAGTCCAAATATTTAAATACATATATTTGCCACAGCAGTTCATTTTTCTTTGAGTGGAACAGCTATGTTTGATATTTATGATTTTTCTTTTATGATGCACATTTCATATTTTTGTCTTTAAGCCAACAACACAGCTGGGTGTTGTCTTCACCTGAAGAGGTGACACAGAACTTCATTCCTGAGGGATCTGAGTGTGTGGTAGTCCTGTCTGAATGAAGCTGCTTGAGTCATCCATTAACATTTGCCACAGCACATGGAAGAACTGTGAGGTATTCCATGGCGTCCTTGAGTTACCTCCATACTCTGTCCTTTCTTCTCTGCCTTCATTGAACATCAGCAACTCTATTTCCCTTACCTGATCCAAATAAATTTCCCCTGCTATAATATAATACAGAGAGTTCCTGTTAACACAGTAGCAGGAAGAGCTGGGAACTGTGCTGGTTTTCTCCAAGAAACCACATGTAGAGCACCAGCTGCAATGGGAGTCATTACCTTATTATGTGTATAATAATCTATGCACATTCTTTAAGTCCATCTGTCTTCTCTATAGGCCAAATATGTGAATTTACTGGGAATGGGGTGGAATAATTGCTTGAATAGCTGCAAGTTGTTGATGACAGCACTCACCTCTATAATCCTTCTAGAAATATGAAATCGCGGGTGGGCATCTAGGGGAGGGATAGCATTATGAGAAATACCTAATGTAGATGATGGGTTGATGAGTGCAGCAAACCACCCTGGTACGTGTATACCTATGTAACAAACCTGCACATTCTGCACATGTATCCTAGAACTTAAAGTATATATATAAAAAAAGAAATATGAAATCGCTTTGGTTAACTATTATGGTATGGAGATGCAGTTCTAGGGGCTTCCAGTTGGTTTTTCCTACAGTGATAGCCCTCACTCCACAGGTCAATCGGCCAATAAGAGGATTTTGCTAATTACTGAATATGTCTATCTCAACTCTGCCTTCTGTAATTGGGAAAATAGCCAAGAGGTGGATTTACAGACTCAATGAACTCTCCGTGAGATGGATCCAAGCCAAAACTCCCTTAATCGTCTGACTTCCATAAGCCCCTACTCTGACTGGCAAACCACAGTGGCAGAGAACAATCATTATAAAGCCTTTCGGGGATCTTGGTTGTCTCTACAGTGATATATTTTCCAAAGCTTTAGTGAATGGTTATCCCCTGTGCCCACCTGGGAGACAGAGGGAATAGCCGAGCATTGTACATCCTAATAAGTTCACTTCATTCTCATTTCCTTAAGCTTTTGCACACCTTTTTCTTCAAGACACCAAGGATATTCTGGAGTTTCATCTTCACTTAATTCATAAAATGTGAGGGTCCAGATTTCAGTCATACAACCAAGCAAATTGTTAGAGCCACCCTCAGCTGCTTGAGTTAACGTAGTGAAATCAGAATCTCTGGCCGGCACACCCACATCAATAAATTCAGTCTAATCCAACATAATATTCTTTCTACCCTGATCTAACACTTTAGGGTTTATTTCCACATATATTCCCCAAATTTCTGTCAATATAAATTGGCAAAATGTTACAATTTTTGGTGTTTATGGTACTTCTCTTAGATCGTGTTTTTAACCTACCTCCTTGGAATCTGTATTTGAGTGCTATTATAGGTCTAGAAATTATAAGAGGTAGGAAAGAAGAGTTGAGAAGGCTCAGTACTTTCTTGTAAAATTTTAGGAGAATTTATTACATATTCTTCAAGAAAGGTTAACTTCCTCAGACAAGGGGAGAAGCATGTTTCTACTGGGAAGGGAGGCTCAGAGGAATTTGAAATAGGCTCAGATGTCTACATCTCACTCTTCAAGTCCCCCTCTTTCTCCTAAATAATGCCCCAACTTTAAAATGCAATTCCTTGTGAGACTGTGGATCCAATTTGTGTTGTAATTCAGCCACCTGTGTAATCTATACCCTGTGGTACACAAGATAAATGTTTCTTTCAAGGCAGTGATGAAAGCTTTCTAGTTCTCTACCTAAGCTCTGATCTGCGAAATCTTATACTCTTTATTCCCACTATAACTCTCTATTGCAGTAAGTACCTCATCACCCTAATCTTCTATCAACATTGGACTCCAGGTGACCACAAGTGATCATTTAAGTATCCATTTGGCCACTGCATGTCATAGACTACCAGACCCCAATTTATCACTGACGATGGGGTCATTAATGTTTTTATGTCTACTCAGATCAGAGAACCAATTCTAGATTTCCATGAAATTCTGTTGGCCAGTGAAGTAGAGCCAGTGTTAGTATTACTGGAATAATAATTTCAAAAACAGAAATTATGGCTTATAAGAAGGCAAGAGGTGGTAGAAAAATGAAGGTCTGGGAAAAAAATTTAGATGAGAGAAACAGTTACTAATCACTGTAGCCTGGAATACTGGCATTGGCAGAAAAGCCAGAGATGATGGGGAAGTCCAAGAAGCCGCATGCATCCACCAACAGACAACTGCAAGGTGGGCACTTACGGAGAGGCCTAAATTCCACAACCACTGGGACGCTAGAGCTCTGGAAAATGTTTGTAACACACTCCACAGCTGTGATATGTGAACTCTGAGGAATCTTCAATGTCTGCGGAAGCCAAAGTAACTGATCAAGCTGCAACATCTAATCATCTCACAACTGTCTCATAATAACTTCCACTTTATCTCCTCATCCAAATCTTTTCTAAATTACTCTCATTGTTAAATTTTAACTCAGAATTTAGAAGGGATTGATGATAGTGGTGCCAAGCTGACAAGAACCAATCTAGCACAGCAAGGAAATTCTCCTGTCTCAACAATGGGACTGGGAGGAGGGAAAACTCACTTTTTGAGAATTTATAACATCAAGCCAAGCCTCGCAGGGATCTTTGTTTGAATATATGCTGCTCATGTTGGTTAAAAATTTTCTAGTTGGAAATTCAATTTAATGTAGTCCTGTGGTGGTCATATTCACAGAAATAGAATTCTCTTGAAACTCAAGGTATCATTCTTCATAGCTAGCCTTCTCTACTGGCCAAATGAATGAGATAAATGGAGATATTAGGGACATCAGTATCCCTCTCTCTTCCAAGTCTTTATGGCAAGTGACTATTTCCGCAATTCTTTTAGAAATGTGATACTGCTTTTGGTTTTCCATTTTTATAGGAAGCAGGAACTCTAATGATTTCTACTTGGCCCTTAATATCTACCTAGTTCCATAGATCAGGGTGCCAGTCTGCTTGTTGCTGAAAATGTGTATAACTCAGAAGTTTCCAAACTTTCTTGGTGTACAGTGTTCATAATATCATAGTAATTTTTATGTAGTGCCCTTAGACCAAAAGAAATACATAGTAGTTCTGTTGATTAAGTAGTTAAGTTTAAACAACTTAATAAGTATTTATGAACTAACAAGTTACTACCTGTTTGAAAAAAAATACATTTTATTGAAAGAAAAAATCTTTTAATTTTCTCCTTGAAGAAACAAAATCATTTACTAATGGGATGTGTTCATCTTACAGAGTATTATACAACTTCTCAAACCTTGGTATCAGATTAGAAAATGCCACTTTCATTTCCTACTCTCATTCCTAAAATATTAATTTCCCACACAGTGCTTGTTTTTTATCAAACTGCCAAAAATCTTGTTTTGCAAAACTACAACATTTAAAAAAAATAGCACAAATTAATGTAACTCTGAACTACCTTTAGCTAGTAGTTCTCAAGGTTTCTAACAGATAACAAGTTTCACTGTGTTCCTTTCACCAAATTTAAAATGTCCCTCTATGTCCTTGTGGCTCAGGGTGCCTCAGCACAAAGTTAGGAACTCTGGATATAGCTAGTATATAGAATAGGATAGTTCTAGGAGTGTAAACACAAATAAATCTTATTCTTGCCCACTGATTCTTTAAAATATACTTACTTGGAGAAATTTTTCTCCTGTTGCTGGAGTGTTTACTGTGATTCAGACAGTGTCATAAGCAGGCGTAGTAGTCCATTTTCATGCTGCTGATAAACACATACTCGATACTGGGTAATTTATAAAGAAAAAAAGATTTAATGGACTCACAGTTCCACGTGACTGGGGAGGCTTCACAATCATGGTGGAAGGTGAAAGGCAGGTCTTACGTGGCAGCAGACAAGAGAGAAAATAAGAGACAAGCGAAAGGAGAAACCCCTTATAAAATCATCAGATCTCGTGAGACTTATTCACTACAAGAACAGTAGGGGGAACCGCCCCCATGATTCAATTTTCTTCCACTGGGTCCTTCCCACAACACGTGGGAATTATGGGAGCTATAATTCAAAATGAGATTTGGGTGGGGACACACCAAACCAGATCAGCACGTTACATATATTAATGGATTCAGTCATGATAACTCAAGGTAGTAGCTACTATTATTATTCCCAATTCATATACAATGAAACTGAGCCAAAGAGAGATTAAGTCTCTGGCCCCAAATCAATACAGCTAGTAAGTGGTAAATCTGAGACTCAAACCCAGGAAAATGTTTGTCTCCAAAGTCCAACACCTTTAATCACTACATCATGTTTCCCCTTTAATGCAAAGGTAATACTTCTATCCCAATTGAGCAGAGACACCAACAAAAATACCAACACTGTACACTTGGGTATTACCACTGAAACCTCTGCTACCACTACCCCAGAAATTGCAGAGGCAAAATAATCTGCTGTCATGCACACCAGAATGGATCAGATTTGGCGCTGCACCTGTTTCTCTCATCACTAGTTTCCAATGACAGAGCCTAAGTCAAATGGTTAAATTTCTGCACTCTAATGAAATGGAAGATGAGAAAGAGATTTATATTTCTATAATGGGAGGTACAAGCTCAATGGAATTGTAATTCACCAAATATAAGAAGGGTGCTCAAAATATTGAATGTCCAGAAAGAATGGCAAATGCCTCTTATAACATGTAACATTATGTCTTCCATATATGTAGTGATAGACATGAAATATTAGCCATAACAATTGTTGCCAATAATTATATTAAGCAGTGAATGTGTTTTTAATATAATTTCTAGATCATACGGTGGTAAATCAATACCATGCACATTTATTTATGCCCCTGACTTCACAAAATAAACCTTCTATCTATTATTTTTACTCACAGATAGGAATATGTGATGTGTTGTTTCTTTCATTGACATTCACTAAGCCTACACTGTTACAGACAAGAAAAAGATAAAAATATATCAACCCACATGCTTTTGAAAAAGAAAAAAAAAGGTTCTCTCTCCTCCCCACAGTGATTTCCTCTCCTCCACACTTTTCAAAATGTTGGTCTAAATATAGATTGAAATTACTTCCCGGTGCATAACTTATTACATTCCAAGATATTATCAACATATTCATATTCTCTTCAAATCCATATTAATAGAAACTGGTCCAAAATGAGTTATTAGCCATAGGAGATAATTTTAAGTTTTAGCATATCCTTGTAATTGGTGACACAAGTAACTGTGCCCAGTCAGATATAACAGAATTAAAAATTGGGAGTGTGTTTTTGCATAAATATATGCATACTACCTAGAGAAAGAGAAAAACCAAAAACAGGAAAATAGCAAATTTCATATTTTATTGTAAGACTTCAAGAAGCCCAATACTCAATCACACCAAAAGTTCAAACAACTTGGTATTCTGTCTCAACAGGAGCAATAGTAGTTCCTTTTATGATAGGAACAACTTGCCAGACCCACTTGAATTTTACAGATCTTATGTTTTTAAAGCAGGTAGAATATTATCTATAAGAAAATGTTTCACATCTGTTCAAATACCATTAATTAATTTAAAAAATCAAAAGACTATCAAGACATTTTAAAAATGACTCCAAAAATTATTGAGAGCACCATATAACTTGAAAACAACACTTAGATCCCCTTAAAATGTCTCAAGCATATTTATGGTTGCCTGCTTCCTGTGGGATGGATGAGGGAGAAGACTAAATAATTTCTAGAGATTATATAAAAAGGCAAAGGTACATTCATTTGCTCTTCTTCCAGGAGAATCAGGTCTAGACCTAGCTACTCAACATTTATTCACACATGTTCACTTAACATTTAGTTCTTTAGTGAAGAAATAATAACCTCAACAGAACTCCTGTTCCCAAATGTTTTCACATCCTGTTTCTCACCACTCTCTTCCATCTCCTGCCTTCTCTTCTCCTCTCCAACTCCCACATGATTCCCTTGATCTCCCCAGGTCTTCCCTCCACAGTACCATCCTAAATTCTGACTCATTTGCTCCCTTGCCAATTCCTCCAGCAACACCTTTCCTTTCCCCATCCCCACTGTCAAACTTTTCTGTCTTTAGAACCACTCCCTTAGTGGCTTATTCTCTGCTGTTCCAGAAAGCTAAGTAACTAATACATTAATGAAGGATAACTTGTTAGTGGCAAATAACGCTCTAGTAAATTACTCCGGTAGGAAAGTTGCATCCTAAAAGAGAATTCTTGAACCTCCATATGACCTTCCCTGGTTACCCTGGGTGACCTGTCTTCGTTTGTTATCTCTATTAGAGCACTTTAAAATAACATTTTTCTATCTTACATTATAAAATTTTTAAGCATGTCAATCTTTACTCTTAGATTATATGAGAGGGCAGCCACAACTGATCTTGTGTCCCTGAAACACAAAGCAGTGACTCCATTCAATTGTGTCAATAAAGCTCGCTTGAGAAAGCTAAGGCTGGGGCGGAAGTCAGTTTTTCAGAGCTCTCAAGCCATACTACATAGGATGCCTCCTATTCTAGCTTTGCATAAAATCCACTCTGGAATTAGGCAGTAGGTTGGTTTGAGAGTTGGCCTCCCTTGCCCCTTTCTTTCCTCCACAATCAGTATTCACAAATACAGATGTGAAGCTTCTCTTCTCCACCCAGTAAGTAACATATTCAATGTTCTATGATACAAAGGAAGACAGTGAGGGAGAGAGAAAGCAATAAGGTCCTAAAAGCAATAGAAGATAATAGGGAAAAGAAGAGAAGAAAGTGAAGACAGAATATACCTTACAACTTTTCTACTTCTAGGGAGTAGACATAAAGTGACATAAAGTGAAAACATTGAAAATGACATAAAGTGAAAAAATAAATGCTATAAAAATTACCAAATCATTCCTCACTACTTTAACGTTGTTTGGCAAGATGATGTCCAAGAGGCTATTGAGTCATGGTTTTTCTGGGTATGAAAAATGATGTGGTAAGAAATTGTTCCCAAAGAGCCAGTCACTTAACTCAGGAAAATAAAATTCACAAGATGCTAACAGCATGAGATATCATATCATGTTAATATGCAGAAGAGAGTGCTGAAACAATATGGTGTGCTGATTAAATTTTAGAAAATCCCATTGTTAAGAGATTTTTTTTCCATTCAGACAAGTGTTTTGGAGGCAAATATTCACATTCTAAAATTAAAGCTATCAGATCAAATGACAAGATAAAGGCTATGTATTGGTAGTTAACTGATTAAACAAGAAGTGGGAGATTGAGGAAGAGGAAGAGAGAAGAAGAAAAGGGGAGAGGAGGAGATGGAAGAGGAGAAGGAAAGAAAGATCCTAGAGTATCTTGAAGTAATTAAAATATTTTCAGCGGCAGTAATTCTTGATTTAGGTGTGTCTGACATATTAATAATTGTTTTGAACTGATTTAGTTCTTTCTAGCAAATAGTACAAACTTTTATAATATAATCTACATCTGGGGTGAAGGCAAACCTCCTGCTCTGAAAATGCTGAAAATGTGATCAGTTTTCATACATGGCTATGAGGTACAAGAAACATTGAGAAGATTTCTGGAATGTCCATAAAGATCAAGCATTCCAGAAAACTTGGAAACAGCAGATGAAAAAGAAGAAAAGATGTTAGGAAAGTTCTGTGGTTAGAAGGCAATGAATACAACTTGATGTTCTAAATAAACTATCTAGTCAGATCAAAGTAGAAGAGAGAGAATTAACAGGAAATTCATTCGTTCATCCTTTCATTCATCAATAGATAAACATCGGTGTGTTTATCTATTCACTAATTCAACATGTATTTGTCAAAAGCCCTCTGCATACAAAGTCCTGGAAGTACAGTGTTGAATAAAGCAAACACAGCCACAGAATGCACATTTTTCATAGAATACTAGGGTTCTGCTTTTGCTCCAAGAGAGATTATGGAAAAATCATATATTTTCATCTTGTCATTAAATGACAAAGTGTAGCAGACACTTATTGAACCCCTCAGGGATGTTAATTGGACTTCATGTCACTAGGAATGCAATAAATTGATGTTGTAGCAGAGTGTACTGCCATTAATTATAACTGGCCTTTCTCATAAATATTTCAGAAACCATTTGTTATCTGAAAAAAAATACGGAAAGGGAATTTTAGAAAACATTTTTAAGTGAAAGATATATAAAGGGGATTTATTTCCTGTTCAGTCTCAAGATCATTCACATGAATTTTGATGGTGACAAAGAATTATCAACCCTTATTTTCTGTCTCTAAGGATTCCACATTTTAAATGTTGAGTTTCAGAATAAATGGAAAACTGAGAAAATATTTTAAAAAGAATAAATAAACAAAATACAAGAATATGCTTTATAAACCTTCAGGTTGTCATGGCACCCATCACATACTGCTTTCCAGACACACTGCCTCTTGAAGTGATTTTAAATCTCATCTACCTCTTTTAATTTTATTTTGAGTTTATTGTCATAAATTTTAATAGGCTTAGCCCTCAGACCATGTCTACTAAGCAAAGCTTAAAATCTAAGGCCAGAAAGTGCTCACTGATGCTTCTTTAATCTGAAATTCTAACAGTGAAAAACAAATGTGGTATTTCTATAAACACTCTTACCTCCTATTTCTAGTTGGTTTCCAGCTATCTATCCAACGATACTTTTCATAGTCTCAACATGGTGCTTTGTCATCCTTCACATAGGTGCCCCTATTCCCACCTCTCCTTTTCCTGTGCTTCTCCTATCATATGGAGTGACTTATCCTTCACTCTCTACACATCCAGTTTCTTTCTTTGAGGTCTCACTTAAATACTGCTGTCCATGGACCCAATGTCGGGGGCCTAATCAGTGTAACAGTGATTTCTCTATCATCTATGAACACCTGCAGCATTTGTGTCTGTGCTTTGATGCTTGGCCAAATATTGGCAGCATCTGCTCTTCAAAGAGGGTGAACTCTTCCAGTAAATTAATGAAATGTTATAGTACAGAAACACCTGACCCAACACTTAACCCTACATTTTAGAAGGGAAATAAAGATCTTCATACTTTCAGTAAATGCCTGACTTTTCTCCAAACTCCCCTTTTTAAAATTATGACTTTAGAACCCAACAGGAAATGCTAAATCTAAGAGGTAAAGGGTCTTCCGTCCTTTTTCCAAGTAATTTGTTTTTTGTTCTAAGTATGATTTAATTTAATCATTGGATTGTTCAAACTGAACTTTCCCTAGGAAATTATGAAATAAGCAAAGTTTGCCTATAATGCACCCCATCTTTCCTTTTTAACCTAGACTCTAAGTCACTCTTTCTTCCCAGTGATCTCAAAGTAGAACATATACCCACTATCAAGATCTGGTAAACTAATCCACTCCATTAAATGTAGTCTTGAGCCAAGGACCAGGGGAAATTTTCTTCTCTTTGCCAGGCCCCAAATTAATTTGCATTTTTTTCTGGAAAACAGTGAGTAAAAGCTCAGATCTCCATCAAAGGGACATTAGGCAGAAGGAGTTTTCAGTAAAATCACTGCAGTTGCTACTAAAGATAGCACTAAGGAGTGATAATAGCTAAGATTACTTGAATACTTGTTTGTGCTAACTGACTTCATCCTCTCAACCCTTTAATGCAGATTCTACTTTTAATTCCTATGCACTCTTGTCCCACATAGGCCCAGTCGTTGACAACATAGCAGCCAGTGTAACTGTTTAAAACCCTAAATCAGATTAAGTCACTGCTCTGTACCCAGCCTCTCTGAGACTAAAAGCCAAAGTCTTTCACACAACCTATCAGATGGTCCAGGATCTGACTCTCTGTTCCCCACCATGACCTCACCTGCTACTGCATTTCCTTTTCCCGCTTCACTCCAACCTCCCAAGCCTCCCTATTGTTGTCCTTCAAACACAGCAGGCATGCCCCTCTGCCCCCAGAATCTCTGTGCTAGCTGCTTCCTCTGCCTCAGTGACATCTTCCCAAAGAGACCATCATTTTGAAAATTAGAACACTCATCCCCACCTCCATGGTATTCCCTGTTCTCTCTACTTTGCTCTATGTTCTCCCTAGCAATTATCATCATCTTGAGTACTATATTACCTGTTTGTTGATGAACCTATTTATTATATTTTGGTTATTGTTTCATTTTGTTTCCCACTCTAGAATGGGAGCTTCACAAGTACTGGGATTTGTCTGTTTGGCTCACTTGAATTTGTACTGTTAGCACAGTGTCTAGCACATAGTAGCCATTCAGCAAATATTCATTGAATGACTTTATTGAATAATTTGTGAGAGAAACTGAGACATGGAGAGGTTAAGTAATTTGTCTAAGGACACACAGCTAATGAGGGGCTGAAGTGGGATTTAAATGATCTCTAAATAACAGCAGAGTGATTGCCTGTGGCTGAATGCATCAGAAGCAGACTGTCTGCCAGGATTCACATACAAGAAGTTTGTTAGGGAAATGTTCCCAGGTGAGAGTGGGGGAAGCAAGCAGGGAAGGGGACGAAGTCAAGCAAGGGTGAGATCTCAGGCACAGTCCTGAAGAGTGTGGCTTCTACCTAATCCCACAGCGATCTCTGGAATATTAGCTATTCCTCTACTCAGAATAGTCCTAGTTGGACCTAAAGCAAGGGCCAGGCTTTCATGACCCCTTATTTGGCAGTCCTGGGTCTGGCGCTGTGGGATGGGCGAGGCATACATTCTCAGGCACTTACTTCCAGGTCTCTGTTTAACAGCAAATTTGCTCCAGCAGCCTGGCAGCAGTTAGGGGTTAAAAGCTGGGTGTTAGAAGGAAAAGCACACCATAGGGCAGGAGGGTGCAGGAGGGAGCAGGAGGAGAGAGGCACTAATGTACCTCTACAGTGGTTCTTCAATGTCTCTCATGATGCCTAAAGTCATGCCCCAACTCCATATTGTGGCCTAAGACTCCAAATAATCTAGCTCTTGCTGACCGTTCCAATCACATTGTGTATGACGATTCCCTTGTTCACTGTGAACTAGTGGCTCATTGGCCACAGGACCCTTGCACCTGCTGTCTTCTCTGTCTAGAACACTACTCATCTAACTCTTTACATGTCAGTCTGCTCTTGACCTTTTGTGTACTAACCAAAATATCCTCAAAAAAGCCTTCCTTAAGCACTGAACCATCACACTTTTTTATTTCCTCAAAAGTATTTATCACAATCTGTAATTATTTTTGTTCCATGTGTTTATTCATTTATTTATTGCTTGTTTGTTTACTGTCTCCCCACTAAAATATAAGCCCCATCAAGGTAAGGACACTATCTGTCCACTTACAATATCCCTAGTACCTCTCACATTATAGGGGTTAAAAATATTTCTTGAGTGAAAAGAAACGCTGGGAGAGAAATGACTAGCCATGTGAGGTCATAGCTGCATCTACCTACCCCAGAGCCGTTTGAGGAGAGCTTCCAAAAGTTAAATTTGTCCAAATCATAAATGAGGCTAGAAAGATGAAGGATATATGAGTGTGGTTAGAATCACCACATTTCACAGGGTAATTTGGGTATCAGATAAAAGCAGCCTCTCTTCACTCTCAGTGAAGACATCACTTTAAATATGCTAAATCTACAGGCTGAGACTGAGAGCTGATATTAGAAAGGACAATATAATTTTGCTAGGTTAGTTAAAATTACCCAAGGACTGAAGGCAGAGTCAGCCCACAGGAAGTATAGAAAAACCTGTGCTCCCCAGCATCCATTAACTTGCCCATTTCTTTTGTGAATTGGAAGACAGTGTACCAAATGGAATATAGAACTATCATTTTTATCTTTTCTTCTCTCAACCATAGAATAAAAGTAACCCTCCTCCAAAAAATAAAAAGAAATAGTAATTTTTTCTCTCCTTAAAAAATGGGCTGCCTTGACAAATTTTATAACAGATACAAACAGAAACACAGAACATGGATTTTATTTTAAGAATCCTTCGAAGTCAAAGCAAACTTTCAGTTTGTTGTCTTAACTATAAAAGCTTAAAAGATTTGTTAATGTGTTGTCTTATTTGCTGCCAATGAAGGAGTCCCCAAGGTATGTTGTCTATGAACACTTCTAATTTTCCAATTTTAAATATTTCTTTAGAAGGAACACATATGATCTAACAGCATAACTAAGAATTCTTGCTGAGACTTTAGTATTTCTTTACACTCCAATAATGGGATACATGAGTACATGTGGACTAGGCTTCCATCCTTCAATTTCTGCTGCTATTACTCATCATGGCAGGCCATGGCTTGTCCCTGTTACCTATATATAATCAGAGTGGCTACATATTTTCCTAATCATCTCAATCATAATAACAACAATTTAAAAAAACCTCCTTTCTCTTCTTATACCTACTTAAATGTTCACTGTCTTTCTAAGCTCTGTATATAAACATGTAAAAAGTTAAACAATCCAATATCCCTTTATACCAAGAAAATTTTGTAAGATAGGTACAAAGAGGGCTTTAAGGTATAATGAGAAAGGGGTATAATTAGAAAATATTTTCCTATCACATTTCTTTGTCAATAACAACTTTTAACATTTGTTTACCAAAGTAATAAATGTACATGCTGGTTACAGGCAACATTCCCCAGGCCATCCCTTTCTTTCACCAGGCTCATTTCCTAGCTATTTGTTCCAGTTTCATTGTCTCTATAGTGTATTTACAAATGTTTGTTTATTTATATTTTCTTAATATGCATATTTATTAACAGGCATTAATATTTTATATTATGTGCAATACTAATATAAATATATATTATATGCATCGATATTTTATTAATATGAATATTTTATTATTAAGCATTTTTAATATACTTCATGAGCTCTTTGTTTTATCAATGCTTAATTCCTAATATTTTGTATTAACTTCCTGCTATGATTGATGAAGATTTACTGCACTCCACAATCATCTGCCTCCTCTTCCCTCACCTTGCCAATTCTATTAGCTTTTCTTCTTTCTTCACTGGCTACCTTTGCATACTACCTGGATTCCTCTTGTATCACCTATACATAGAGATTTTTTTATTTGCCATTTAATAATATTGAGCTACTGGCCTTCCTATTCTCCTTGTCACCTCTTCCACCCCACCTTTGCCTCTTAACTTGTCATCCTTCTTAACTTCTCTCATCTTTACCCCTAATTCTGTAGTGCCAAGATTAATAACATGTATTCTGTTCTGTAACCATAATCAAGTCTCCTATGTTCTGTCAATACTTTGTTCTAGGAGTTAAAAACCACAAAAAAAGTGTATAGACTTATGACCCATATGCATATTTTCCAATGCAGAACAATCATTAAGATAACATTTTTTTTCTTTTCTTTTTTGGCTTTCCCCTAGAATTACATTGCCTTATTGTTTGTTCTCAATTTAAGAAAAATATCTTCGTTTATAATGTGAGATTTCTGATGCCCTTGAGAGCATTTATTCTTTTTCACAGAAAAGTGTATTCAGAGGTTTATTTTATTTTTAAAAGTAAGTATATAATTGATACACTATAGCTAATTGAAGTTAAAATTCATAAACTTAATTTTTCCTTAGGCTTTTAAATTACAAATCTGAATTTCTATTTACAAGTCTAGCATATTTACACAATGACTTTTAACCTTACTTTTGAATAATGTTTGTTCCATTTACAAATTTAGATAAACCTTTGAATATTTCAATTTTATTGTAAATGCAATATTATCAGTTATTTACTGCAAAATAAAATAGTTTCAACTACTAAGCCATTTTAATAAATCTAATAAATAAAGTTCATAAATATGGTGAATTTTGAGTTTTCTTAAATATTCCAATAGTGTACATAAACTTGTAAGATTTCATTTTGAAATCAGTCTAGGCCGGGCACGGTGGCTCAAGCCTGTAATGCTAGCCTGTAATGCTAGGCCAAGGTGGGCGGATTGTCTGAGCTTAGGAGTTTGAGACCAGCCTGAGCAACTTGGCAAAGCCCTGTCTCTACTAAAAATACAAAAAAAAAAAAAAAAAAAAAAAACTTAGCCAGGCATGGTGGTGCTCCCTTTTAGTCCCAGATACTCGGAAAGCTGAGGCACGAGAATCGCTTGAACCCAGCAGGTAGATGTTGCAGTGAGCCAAGATCATGCCACTGCACTCCAGCCTGGGCAACAGAGTGAGACTCTGTCACCAAAAAGAAAAAAAATCAGTCTAGGCTGGGCATGGTGGCATGCACCTGTAGTCCTAGCTATTCAGGAGGCTAAGGCAGGAAAGACACTTGAGCCCAAGAGTTCTAGATGGCAGTGAGCTATGATTGCACCACTGCACTCTAGCCCTGGGTGACAGAGTGAGATCTCTTCTCTTAAAAAAAAAAATCAGTCTAATTCAATTACTCTACTATAAATTTCAAATTAGTGTCCCACCATTGTCACTCTTACAAGCAGATAGAACTCTAAATGTGCGTGAATTCCTCAATGCAAAAAACAAAGTAATGCTCTGAGTCTTCATTCTTTTCTGATGCTTTCCCACAAAAGACAATTATATTTTCAGTTAAGACCTTACTTTACACAAGGAGAGTGGATGTTGTGTTCTCACCACAAAAATGGTAATGATGTGAGGGAATGCATTTGTTAATTAGCTAGTTTTCACCATTCTACCATGTGTGTATGTGTATATACATATATATGTGTGTGTATATATACAATGTGTGTATGTGTATATACATATATATGTATGTGTGTAATATATATATCCATATCTATCTATCTATCTATCTATCTATCTATCTATAGAGAGAGAGAGGGAAGGAGGGAGGGAGAGAGAGACAGAGAGAGAGAGAGAGAGGCAGTCCTCATTTTATTGTGCTTTGCAGATACTGAGTTTTTTACAAATTGAAGATCTGTGGTAACCCTGCATTGATCAAGGCTATCAGCACCATTTTCCCCACAGCATGTGTTCACTTTGCTTCTCTGTCACATTTTGGTAATGTTTCACAACATTTTGAATTTTTAAATTATTACTATATCTGTTAGCCTAGTAACAAATATAGTAATAATCTGTCATTATCTATATGACAATCTGTGATTAGTTATCTTTGATGTTACTATTGAAGTTGTTTTGGGGTTCAATGAGCCAGGCCCATGTGAGACAGTGAACTTAATCGATAATTATTGTATGTGTTTTGACTGCTCCACCAACCCATTCTCCTTGGGCTTCCCTGTTCCCTGAGACACAACAATATTGAAATTAGGCCAAGTAATAACCCTATAATAGCCTTTAAGTGTTCAAGTTAAAGGAAGAACTGTATGTTTCTCACTTTAAGTCAAAAGCTAGAAATGATTAAGCATTAAGTGAGGAAGGCATATCAAAGCCAAGACTGGTCAAAAGCTAGGCCTCTTCTACCAGTTAGCCAAGTTGTGAATGCAAAGAAAAAGGTCTCGAAGAAAATTAAAAGTGCAATTCCAGTGGACACATGAATGATAAGAAGACAAAACAGGCTGGGCATGATGGCTCATGCCTGTAATTGCAACACTCTGGGAGGCTGGGGTAGGTGGATAGCTTGAGCCCAGGTGGTCTAGATCAGCCTGGGCAACATGGTGAGATCCTGTATCTACAAAATTTTCTTAAATTAGCCAGGATGGTGGTGTGCACCTGTGGGTCCCAGCTACTTGGGAGGCTGAGGCAGGAGGATTGCTTGAGCACAGGAGGCCAAAGCCACAGCAAGCCATGCTCCTATCACTGCACTGCAGCCTGGGCAACAGAACAAATCCCTATCTTAAAAAAAAAAAAGGAGCAAAACAACCTTATTGCTGATATGGAGAAAGTTTTAGTGGTATGGATAGAAGATCAAGCCAGCCACAATATTCCCTTAAGCCAAAGCCTAATTCAGAGCAAGGTCCTAACTCTTTTCAATTCTGTGAAGGTTGAGAGAGGTCAGAAAACTGCAGGAGAAGAGTTTAAAGCTAGCAGAGGTTGGTTCATGAGGTAAGAAGCCATCTCTATGACATAACAGTGCATGGTGAAGCAGTAAGCACTGATGTATGAACTGCAGCAAATTAACCAGAAGATCTAACTAAAATCATTTATGACAGTAGCAAGAGTAAACAACAGATTTTCAATGTAGAGGGAATAGCCTTCTACTGGAAGAAGATGCCATCTAGGACTTTCATGGCTAGAGAGTAGAAGTCAATGCCTACTTCCAGAGCTTCTAAGGACAGGCTGACTTTTTTCTTAGGACTAATGAAGCTAGTAATTTTAAGTTGAAGTCAATGCTCATTTACCATTCTGAAAATCCTAGGGCCCTTAACAATTATACTAAAGCTACTCTGCCTGTGCTCTACAAATGGAACCACAAGGCATGGCAACACATCTGTTTACAGCGTGGTTTATTGAATATTTTAACATGACTGTTGAGATCTACTGTTTAGAAAAAAAAGATTCCTTTCAAAACGCTACTGCTCATTGACAATGCAACTGGTCACCCAAGAGCTCTGATGGAGATGTACAAGGAAATGAATATTGCTTTTATGCCTGCTAACACAACATCCATTCTGCAGCCTGTGGGTCAAGAGTAATTACTTTCCACTTTCAAGTCTTATTATTTAAAAAATACATTTTGTAAGTCTATAGCTGCCATACATAGCTATTCCTCTGATGGATCTGGGCAAGTAAATTGAAAACCTGGAAAGGATTCACCACTCTAGATGCCACTAAGAACACTTGTATTTCATGGGAGGAAGTGAAAATATCAACATTAACAAGAGTTTGGAAAAAGTTTATTCCAACCCTCAGAGATGACTGAGGGGTTCAAGACTTCAGTGGAGGAAGTAACTATAGATGTGGAAATACCAACAGAACTAGAATTAGAAGTGGAGCCTGAAGAGATGACTAAATTGCTACAATATCATGATAATACTTCAACAGATAACAAGTTGCTTCTTATGGAGGAGCAAATAAAGTGGTTTCTTGAGATGGTATCCACTTTTGGTGAAGATTCTATGAATATGGTTGAAATGACAAAGAAGAATTTAGAATACTCAGTAAACTTAGTTATAAACCAGTGGCAGGGTTTGAGAGGACTGATTCCAATTTAGAAAAAAAGGCCTATTGTGGGTAAAATGCTATCAAACAGCATTGCATACTTCAGAGAAATCTTTTGTGAAAGGAAGAGTCAATGGGTATGACAAACTTCACTGTTATTTTAAGAAATGGTCACAGCCACCCCAACCTTCAGCAACCACCACCCTAATCAGTCAGCAGCCATCAACATCAGCAAGACCTTCCTCCAGGATAAAGATTATGACTCGCTGAAGGTTCAGGTAACTATTAGTATTTTTTAGCAGTAGGTATTTTCAAATTAAGGTATGTACACTGTTTTTTAGACATAATGCTATTGCACACCTCATGGACTGTAATATAATGTAAACATACCTTTTATATGCCCAGCAAAATAAAAAATACTGTGTGACTTGCTCTATTGCAGTAGTCACTTTATTGTGGTGCTCTGGAACCATACCTGCAATGTCTTCAGGGTATGTCTGTGCTTCAAAACACCCTGTTGTACATGATAAATACATACAATTTAATCTGTCAGTTTAAAAATAAAATTTTTTAAATAAAATTTTAAAAAGACTTTTTTTTAATCAATTCTATACTTAATCATTTATGTTCCCATGGTTAAATTACACTCATCTTCTTAGGAAACAACTTCTCAGGTAACTAAGGCTATTTTTAGCTACACATTTTACCTGGCAATAAGATACAGAGCTGTAGACATTCATGGTAAATATTCTTACAGTTCACTTATCAAGCTATTATATTATCTCCAGGAACTTTTGGGATTGCCTTCTTATGCTTGAGGTTACATAAAATCATCAGACTTTGGCTGGGGTGCCAGTTGGGAATACTGATGCAAAACACTGAACAGTATTTATACCATTAAAAGAGTTAGGTAGCTCTATTATATATCGAATTCTTCAATTGAGACATATATTAATAGATCTACAACTCCAGTCAAATTGATTGTTTGGATATTGCATCTCTGGCTTGTAAGGTATGTAAATTTTATCTGAGTGAAAAGACTTGTAAACTCAATGGAAACCTACATTCTTTTTATGTACACCCTATTATAGGACTACATAACTCTCAAGGATAGATCCAGTTGAATTCTGGGTACATTTCATTGCTTTGTCTCACTATATGGTCATAGTTTTCAAGTCAGTTTACTGACTTTCAATTTTTTTTCAATATCTTCATCTAATCAAAAAATTATTTTAGGGTTCACCTGTCCTGCCAGAAACATTCTTCCTGAATCCCTTTATCTTTCTATTGTAATCTGGACTTCTGTTTTCTAGAGTAATGCAACTGAGATCTCTTTTCACTAATTTTTTAGGTTGGTCCATTTTCTTTTTCTTGAGGATCACATCTTTCCCCTTGGTTTACTTCATTTTGCTGATGAACATCCTTAAGTGACTCCCAAAGAAATAATATATGAAAATATTTTTTTAATGCACATGTACCAAAATGTATTTATGCTGGCCCTAAACTTCATTTGGCTGGGCTGAAAATCACTTTCCCACAAGATTTTGATAGTATTTTCTTTTACCATTCAGTACTCATGATAAAAAGTCTAATGCTATTCTGCTTTTGTGTCCTTTTCTAAGTTATCTGTTTTTGTGTGTATAATTGTTTCCTTGTTTTTTGTTGTTCATCCCTTAACAATTTGAGTAACTTCTTTTTATCTTAAAGATTATGATATTTCTATCACAAATGTCTGGGAGGATATTTTTATTCCCAGTGGCCTGAAGACACAGGGACTCATTTAACCTGAAAGCTTGTGTCTTTCAACTCTGAGAATTTTCTTGTTTTATGTTTACATTAAATAAAACAATACATTGTATTTAACTCAATATATCTGAAATATTATCATTTCAGTCAATATAAACAATTTTATTTGATAATGTCCCCTCCTCTGAATTCTCTTTTCTGCTTTCCAGGAACTTCTCTTCACCAGATGTTAGAATCCCATAGTTGGCTCTTTATTTCTTTCTATATTTTCTCCCATATTTTTCATAAATTATTGTTTTATTATCATTTTTGGAAGATATTTTCCACATTATCTTTTCCTTCTTTTATTGAATACTTTTAATTTTAGTAATGTTTCCTATTAAGTTGTTTTTAGAGATCTGGTTTTGCTGTGCTGCCCAGGCTGGTCTCAAACTCCTAGGCCCAAGTGTTCCTCCCACCTCATCCTCCCTAGTAGCTGGCATTACAGGTATAAGCCACTGCACTCAGTCTATTTCCTATAACTATTTTTTCAATTTTAATAATTCATTTTATTTAACCTAATATATCAAAAATATTGTCATTTCAATCACTATAGAAAATTCATTGGATATTTTACATATCCTTATACCAAATATTCAAACCTGTGAGTGTATTTTACACTTACTGAACATCTCAATTTAGACTAGCTACATTTCAGGTGCTCAAAAGCTACATGTGGCTGGTGGCTACTATATGGACTGTGGGAGCCTAGAATAACCAAGCTTCTTCACACATAGTAGATTTGAGAAGGGCATAATGTCAAAACTAGGATGCATTTTGTTACTTGCATGTTTAATCTTTTTAGGCAATGCAGATTTTTCTATATTAAGATTAAAAGACAAAGGCTGTGCTGATTTTTCCTCTTTTCCCCTATGTTTCTGCAACAGATTTCTTTGCAGTACCTTAAATGTGCCGTATTGTAAATGATAGGAACTAGCCCTCCCCTGCCAAGGATCCTATATTGATTTTTAAAAGCTACTTTTTATTATCTGATTTTATGTTTTTCTTGTATGATATTCTTGTGTTTGAATACAATAATTCTGGGAATCTCTCTATGGGTACTATCAACCATTATTTTGTTTTGTTTGTTTCATGTTGTTTGTCTTAGCTTTTCTCTTTCATGTTGAAGGCCTTTCTCAAATTTCTGATGGTCCTTGATTGTTTATTTATATTGAATATCAGCTTCTAAAGGCCAGTATCCAACTCTGTGAAATAGGTGGCCTTTGTCACATAGTAAACTTCTTACTAGGGTAGTAATTCATGGACTCTAGCTGCACATTAGAGTCACCTGAGGAGATTTTAAAAAATACAGAGCAGTGGTCCCAGCCCCAGGGAATCTGATTTAATTGGTCTGCTGCAGGACTAAGCACCTGTCAATTCTTTAAAAAGATTATAATTTGCAGATGGAATTCAGAGCCACTGCTTGGAGCTTACAGATAGCTGAACATGTGGAGGTTCTTGGAGAGTGGTGTGCCCAGGGAGGGGATGGAAGTACCATGCCCCTTCCCCCATACCTCATCCTACACGTTCTTTGCAATACCTTTTAAAATAACCAGTAAATGTGAGTAAATGGTTCCCTGAATTCTGTGAGTCATTCCAGAAAATTAATCAAATGCAAAGAGAGGGTCACGTGAATCCCCCACTTGAAGCTAGTCAGTCAGAAGTTTCAGAGGCCTAGACTTGTGACTCTTATGTGTATGGGGGACAGTTTTGGGGGCTGAGCCCTCAATCCATGGAATGCAATGCTATATCAAGGTAGACAGTGTTTGAATTGAATTGGAGGACACCCAGCTGGTGTCTGCTACTTGGTTTGTGGTAAAAAAAATCCTCCACATGTTTGCTTATTGGAATCTTCTGTGTTGATTGTTGTGGTGTAATAGTAGAGGAAAAACAGCTTGAGAGTTTTTCCCTGCACAATTGGTGTTTAAAGTAGGATTTGCTGGAATGACCTTGACTCATTGGAAACGTGGTTTGGGAAGAGAAAGGATAAAAGAGCTGGAGATAACAAATCTTTGATTCCTGAGTGGCCATGTGGTCACCCAAGGTATGAAGCTGCAGCTGTGTTGAGATCAGTTACTAAAGGTAAAAGTTACCAGTGGAATTAAAGATGAATCTAACTCCCAGGGAGCTCGTTCACTGAATGCATAAGGAAATGCAAACTAATAAGAAAAAAGTGAAATATTCAATCTCTTGGTTATTGTTATCTATAAGAGCTAAAATGAAATCAAAAGAGAATACTGGGTTGGACCTTCCTGCAAGATCAATCTCAGATTTCAGTCAGTCTGAGCTGAGGCCACCAGCCTCAAAGCCACCCCACCAAGGGCAGAATTATGCAGTGACAACAGAAAGTATCTGTGAGACCTGTGGTTACAAAGAAGGTAGTCAATACGAGGGAAGGGCAAAACTAAGTAACTACTGAAAACAGGGGGTATGGTGTAAAGGGATTGTTCCATTTTGTAGATTAGTGTCATTAGCTTCCTAAGCAACCTTTACTAAAATGGATTATGAGAGTAACTAATTTAGGGAAGTACCTTTGTTTTTAAATGCTGCAGAGTGGAAGAGCATGTTTGGGGTGATACAGGACCCACAGCTCCCCATTGAACAATCACAGATGGGTATATGTGATCCAGATACACAGAAGGTTATTCCTGAGGGAACAGTCAGCCTGATGGACTGGATAAAAGCCACTATAAGATGTGTTTACCCTGACAAAAGGGACTATCCAACTCCACCTATTAATGTCAAGTGGAACATCCCAGATAAAGCGGCTGATATGCTTTGTATGCAAGCCATGTGAGACTGGCTGTATGATGACAGGGTTACTCACCTGCTGAATATGCTCGTTACCCAGGTTATGGTAAATGCTGTGGCTAAGGGGGCTCCTTCTACATGGGCACCCTATGTGACATTACTCCTGCAGAATCAAACAACAGTTCCAGAAGCCTTATCAAATTTACTGTTTCAGCTTCCCCTCATGAGTCTTATGGTTAATAAAAACATTAGATTAGTTAACAAAGGAATAGGGAAAGGCAAAAGGGATAGTCAAATGACTGGTCGCAGAAAGGTGGAAATTTTTTAAAGTTATTAATAAATAAGGTGAGTAAAGAAAGCATTGATGGGGTGAAACTAAAAGGAGAAAGAAAGAGGAGAGTCATGGAATTCATCCCAAGAGGGTGGAAATCTTTAGATGGTTATAAAAAATGGAATGAATAAAATGGAAATTGATGGGGTTAAAACAAAGGTCCTAATACAACACGATTGAATGTTGGGTGAACCAACAGGAACCCCTGCTGGCCCCCCAACATTAAAGGGCCCCAAACCAGTTTGCTGTATTTCCCCCAATTTGGAAAGATTTAAAAAGCAGTAGGCAGAGACTACAACGAGAAATCTGATATGAAATTGCCTGGGGCAATTGTTGGACAGATTAATGAAGGTAAAGATTGACAAAAAGATCAAGGACCTTTGGCTCAACCCCTGGCTAAGGACCCAAAGCCTTTTGCACAAAAGAGTGTACAATGGTTTGGGGCTGGAGAAGAGAAGTTCCTGAAACTGGAACTTAAAAATGGAAAGGTTGATAGGATTATGTCAACTGATACATTTGAAAATGCTTCATGTGAAGTGGTTGCAACTCTTTTACCTGATTGTATCATGAGAACCAACATTGTATCTTATTGGGAAATGTTTCTTCTACCTAGTTTTGTAAAACAGAAGGCATCTAAATCCAGCCTTCAAGCAATATGAATTGAACTGCTAATGGGAACCAGTAAGATTGCCAGAGCCCACACAGTGCGGAGTAAATACTAGAGTGCTTGCAGGGACAAATTCTCCATTTGATAGCCCTCTGTGGAGTGTTTACTGGGGCTTATGGCAAAATCTTGTGAGCACTTCTCAGAAATGACTACTGAAACTTTAGATTAGAGAGAATTTCAACTTGAGGGGCATTTACTGTCTTGCTATGAAACGTTAACTGAAGCTACCCCTATGACACCCCTCATGCTGTCTCGGGTCGTGTCAGAGAAACATTCTAATGGGGATGGCAGTGCCCAGGAGGGTTCTACAATAAGATGGAAATGGTTTATAAAGGATCGTGCTACCTAGGAAATGTAAAGAATGGATACTTTTGAGAGGGAGCTTCTTTTCCACTAGGACTGACTCTGGAACTGTCTGAGAAACTGCTGGATTCTACAGCACCAGATAAACAGCTCCCAACTGACCAAAGAAGCAAGTGCTGCTTGGTTCATGGATGGCAGTTCCAAAGTAAATGGACAAGATCCTGTTTGGAAGGCAGCTACTTTAAGCAAAGAAAGTAAAAGCAGATCACCTTGGCGGGCTGAATTGTGTGCTGTTTTTCTTTTTCTTTCTTTCTTTCTTTTTTTTCTTTTTTTTTTTTTTTTTTGAGATGGAGTCTCACTCTGTTGCCCAGGCTGGAGTGCAGTGGCCTGATCTCGACTTACCACAACCTCTGCTTCCTGGACTCAAGCAATTCTCCTGTCTCAGCCTCTCGAGTAGCTGGGATTACAGGCATGTGCCACTATGCCCAGCTAATTTTTGTATTTTTAGTAGAGACTGGGTTTCACTATGTTGGACAGGCTGGTCTCTTGACCTCATGATCTGCCTGCCTTGGTTCCCAAAGTGCTGGGATTACAGGTGTGAGCCACCGCTCCCGGCCAAGAAAACTTGAGATAAGTCAAAGGAAAGTCAAGGCTAGTAATGGCTGGAAAGGTAACTTGCACTGTATAATGAAGGCAGCAAAATGCAATAGAATGAAATTCAATCTTAAACAATAGAGAGGGAAGATGAAGGAAAGCCAAATCACTCAGGAGGAAAGCCATAGAACTTTCAAAGGCAGGAATGTTATTCAGTTTCATTGCTGGGATATAAATACTGTGTCTCATACAAATGCCTTTGAAAATGTGTTTTTTTCTACTTTTCATGAAAATTAAAGAAGCATAAATAGCTTGGATGAATATTCATCTAGGTTGGCACCTGGCAGAGAAAAGAGAATTTGAAGTATGGACCAAAATCTAATCGGGAAAATATTACTCTCCCTCTTGGTAGTGCCAGGAGCAATACCACCATTCATGAAGGTTTGAGGCAATTTCTCACTAAGAACTGTCTTCCTCAGTAGACAGCTGTGTTACACCTGCACTGTGCCTTTATTTAAATATAGTGATGACCCTTTACAAACCTTTGGCAGAGAGTATGGCTTTTTAATCATTTAAAAAACCTGTGAGGTTAGAATTTAGTACCTCCATTACCACTTTTGCTCTGTTTTTTTCTGCCTATTCAACCAGGAACAAATCAAGTGGACTGTGGAGGCTGCACATTAAGACCTGTTAACTGTGTTTCCATTAGCCATGGTCCATGATGAAAACATGAGCACATGCCCTTGACTTTGTGGCTAAGAAGTGTCATTTGGGTAAAAACTCCAGGTATGAAGTTGAGGAAGAAGAGAGGTGCAATTGTTAAGAAAAAAAGACTGAGATCATTATACAAGTAGACTTACATGCTTACTGTGTACAGAGTCAGTACTTAATAATAAGTAAATACAGCTCATTGTCTTAAATTGCCTAAGATTTTTTATGTCTATTCTTTCCAATTTTTCAGCTGAGCAGCAGGTACTCAAAACTCAAAGAAGGCTGGGTACAGTGGCTCACACCTATAATTCCAACATTTGAGGAGGCCACGGCAGTAGGACCACTTGAGCCCAGGAGTTCGAAAACAGTCTGGGCAACATAGTGAGACCCTGTCTCTTAAAAATAAAAAAAAATAAACAAACAAACAAACAAACAAAAAAGCTAGCCATGGTGGCATGTGCTTGTGGTCCTAGCTACTCAGGAGGCTGAGGTAGGAGGACTACTTGTGCCCAGGAGGTCGAGGCTGCAGTGAGCCAAAATCATGCCACTGCACTCCAGCCTAGCCAACAGAGTGAGACCCTGTCTCTACAAAAAATAAAATAAAATAAAATAAAATAAAATAAAATAAAATAAAAAAGCTGGGCATGGTGGCACGCACCTGTGGTCCCAGCTACTTGAGAGGCTGAGGCAGAAGGATCACTTGAGCCCAGGAGGTCAAGGATGCAGTGAGCCATGATCATGCCACTGTACTGAAACCTGGGCAACAAAGTGAGACCCTGTCTCAAAAAAAAAAAAAAAAAAAAAGTCAAATAAGACTTAGCAGTAATCACTGCTCAGACAGGATTCCACAGCTTTGCACTCCTGGCTCTGCTTTCTCTGCAACCATGTCTGACAAACCCAGCATGGCTGAGATTGAGACACTCAATAAGCAGAGATTGAAGAAGGCAGAAACACAAGAGATAAATCCACCGCCTTCAAGAGAAACAAACTAAAGAAGCAAACAGGTGAATTATAATGAGCTGTGAGCTGCGAATAGGTACTGCACATTCCATGGGCATTGCCTTCTTATTTTACTTCTTTTAGCTGTTTGATTTGTAAGCTGCAAAGAGTTTGGAACTGAAATAACTGTGCTGCCCCTTTCTGCATGAAAGAATCAAGAACTACTGACAACAAAGTCATCATCTGCTTCTGTCATCTACCTGTCTGGATGCCAGGGGAGAAAAAAGTGCTTACACGCTGGTGAAGTAAGAAGCTGAATAAAACCACACTGAATCTAGAGCAAAAACTAAGTTAATACAAGGTGTCCTGAAGGCTGTTAAAAGTAGTTTAATAAGAATGCCATTTTTTGTTGTTCAAATAATATTAACTATTGGATCGCACAATTTTTAAAATATGCAAATTAAAAGTTCTAAAAAGCCTAAAAAAAAAGTGACCTAGCTTCACATCTATGTATCACCGCTTCATGCCTCAGCATCCTCAGAGACAAGAATTGCTGTTGATGCAAAAATAAATCATTATTGACAATATAAAGTGACAGTATAGGTTTTGCTATAGTTCCAGAGTCTGGGAAGGTGTACATTGTAAAGCATAAATTGATCTTAGATAGACCCTATTTCCATCGACACATTGAGCATTCCTAATCTGAAAATCTGAAATCTGAAATGTCCCAAAATGTGAAACGTTTTGAACTGCAGTATGACACCACAAGTGGAAAATTCCACACTTGGTGTCATGTGACAGATCACAGTCAAAACACAGGTGCACAACACACAGTTTATTCAGCATCCCAAAGGGAAAAAAGACCTTCCTAGCTCCCTTCAGCTGCAATCTATCTTTTTTTGTGCGTGCCCCGATTCCCCCATGCAAACATGCCCTCAAAAGGTAATTAAATGGCACACGTGCAGACGGGATACACCAATGGCAGGTTCCCCATGATGCCTCATATGGACCAAGACCTATATGTGTTACTCACTGTGATTTTTTTGTTTATTCTCTGCTCTGTAGTATACATAAATTGTTGAAATGTCAAAAAGGAGGATTATTCATACCCCAAACCTTAGCATCACACAATATATCCATGTAAACAAACCTGCACATGTATCCCCTGAATCTAAAATTAAAGTTGAAATTATATGTAAAAAAAGAAAATGTCAAAAAGGCCTGCAGATACCCCTATGAGTAACAGTGAGAAGAAAAGGAGGGAGCATTTATGTTTATCTATAACACAGAAAGTCAAGCTGTTAGACAAACTGGAGAGCAGTCTAAGCATGAAACATTTTACGGAAGAGTATGGTACAGGAATGACCACTATATATGACATGAGGAAACAGGATAAATTGTTGAAGTTCTATTGAAGCAATGAGTAGAAGTTAATGAAAAACAGAAAAACGCTGCATAAAGCTAAAAATGAAGATCTCAATCATGTTTTGAAAGGATAGTTCCATCAACATCACAGCGAACATGTTTCATGATCACGTGGTATACTGATCATGAAACAAGCAAAAATATATTACAACAAAATGAAAATTGAAGGGGACTATGAATATTCAAGAGGTGTACTGAAGAAATTTTAGAAAAGATACAGCATTACATTTTTAAAGATTTCTGGTGAGAAAACTTCTGCTGATCACAAAGCAAAGAAGGAATTCATTGATGAGTTTCCAAGGTCATCACTGATGAAAATCTGACACCAGAACAAGTCTATAAGGCTGATGAAACACTATTGTTTTGGTTTTATTGCTCCAGAAAGGCAGTGACTACAGCTGATGAGACAGTCCCTACAGGAATTAAGGATGCAAAGATAGCGTGACTGTGCTGAGATGTGCTAATGCAGTAGGCACACATACTGTAAGGTTGCTGTGGTAGGCAAAAGCTTGTGTCCTCACTGTTTTCAAGGAGTGAATTTCTTACTAGTCTATCATTATGCTAACAAGAAGGCATGGATTACCAGGCACATCTTTTCTAATTGGTTTCACAAACGTTTTGTACCAGCTTGTGCTCACTGCAGGGAAGCTGGACTGGATGACAACTACAAGATTTTGTTATTTGACAACTGTTCTCCTCATTCTCCAGCTGAAATTCTCAATAAAAATAATGTCTATGCCTTGTACTTTCCCCTAAATGTGACTTTGAATCAATGAGAAGCCATGTGACCAGGTTATCCTTAGATCAATTTAAAGAGTAAATATAAAAACACTTTCCTGAACAGAATGCTAGCAGCGGTGAACAGAAGCATGGTTATAGAGGTTTTCAAAAGGAGTTTAGCATGAAGTATGCTGTATTTGCTGTTCCCAACACTTAGAACTCAGTGACTAAACACAGTTGTGCATGCCTGGCACAATCTCTTGACTGCAACTATGTTCAGTGATGATAATGAACAAGGTAGTGACTCTGAAGGGTCCTGTATATTAAGTGAGAAAAAAAAAATGATGTCTAGCCTCCTTACATTTGTAAAAAAAATATACCTTCAGGTCGGGTGTGGTGGCTCACGCCTGTAATCCCAGCACTTTGGGAGGCTGAGATGGGTGGATCACCTGAGGTCGGGAGTTCGAGACCAGCCTGATCCACATGGAGAAACCCCATCTCTACTAAAAATACAAAATTAGTCGGGCTTGGTGGTGCATGCCTATAATCCCAGCTACTTGGGAAGGCTGAGGCAGGAGAATCACTTGAACCTGGGAGGTAGAGGTTGTGGTAAACTGAGATCATGCCATTGCATGCCAGCCTGGGCAACTAGAGCAAAACTCTGTCTCAAAAAAAATATATAGATAGATAGATAGATAGATAGATAGATAGATAGATAGATATACACCTTCAGAGTCCATCAATAAGTTGGAGGAAGTGAATATTTAAGAAGTTTTTAACATGGATAACAAGGCTTCAGCTGTTCATTCAATGACCTATGGTGAAATAGTCTAAATGGTTCCGAATCAAGGTGATTGTAAGAGTGACAATGAAGATGATGTTGTTAACACGGCAGAAAAAATGCCTATAAACAACATGATGAAAATGTGTTATGAGTGTATTGAAGGACTAGAGTAACATGCATTCATAACAGAACAAGAAGTCATATCAGTTTAGAAAATCAAAGGGAGACTTCTAAGACAAAAACTATTGTTAATGAGGCAGGTGGCTAAGATGGAAACCGTCACCATGCTTAAAAAGCCAACCAGCAGCATGACTCCTCATACCACTTCCTGGTCCCTCAACTGCTTCTAATGTTTCTTCTCATCTAAAAACCCCCCACAAAATGTAGTGTACAGTGAGAGACCTTTCAATCAAAACACAGACTTGTAGGCGGAGACTGGAAATCTGCATTGTTTGTTGTTGCTCTTGTTTATCAGCTGACACAGGTATTCTGCTGATGCTGCTACTGTGCTGCTTAGTTACCTGGAACACTCATTTTTTTCACTGTATTAATGGTATGGCATATTTTTTACTTATGTGTGAATAAATATAAGAAAATGATTGCTTATTGGTAGCATAAAAATTCAGAGTCATGAATGATGGTCGTGCAAAACAACCACAAATTATCCGCATGGGTGCCTGAGATAGTGATACCTTTACTTTCTGATGGTTCAGTGTATACCAACTTCGCTGCATGCACAAATTTATTGCAAATATTGTATAAAATTACCTTCAGCATATGTATATAAAGTATATATGAAACATAAATAAATTTTGTGTTTAGACTTGGATCCCATCCCCAGTATATCTCATCTATATATGCAAATATTTCAAAATATGAAAAAACTGGAAATCCAAACATTTCTGGTCCCAAGCATTTCAAATGAGGAAGACTGAACCTGTACTCTCTTTGTGAGCTTTGGTTAAATTAGTCTCTTGAAGCCTCAGTTACCTAGTCAATAAAGTATTGCCAATAATAGTATTCATGCTACAGGGTTACCATGATAATCAAACAAATATGGCATATAAAGCACATAGCACAAGTCTAGCACTTGGTAAGCACCCAATAAAAAATTACTATTGTTATTCTCATGATTATCCATAGTCTTACATGCCCAACCTCTTTGAGTCAGTACTGTGCCTTGTGCTCATCTTGACGAAGAACTAAACTCTTCAGCATACAACAACCGCCCTGCAACACACCACCAAATAATAGGCCCAACTGAAATAATGAGAAAATGCGTTTTACTGAAGAATTTGTGTTGTTGCAGGAAAGAGTGTTTCTCTCACACTAAATGGGAAGGCTTCTCTGTTTTCCCAAGAAATGCATCTCTTGCCTACAGCTGATACAATATACACCGGCTCCCCCGTCAGCATGAGACCCCACTGGTTATCTGAACTCTAAGCTATATTAGTCACCAATATGTCTGGGAGTAAAGTATGGGTTCATCCTGCCTTACCCATATTTCCTCACCAACAATGTCAACGTTCTCCAAAAGAATAACAAGAATCCATATTGTAAGTGAAATCACATTTTAAACATTTAGAAAAGCTTGCTATTGTAGACCAATTCAAATGTCACCTCTCCTGTGAAACTGTTTCTAACAAAGCAGAGCCAGACAGGAGAAAAAGAGGTGATAAGAAGTCAGGAGTCCTGGATCTGCTGATAACTGGCTATGTGGCCTTAGAAATATCCTTTTGTGGGCTGGGTGCAGTGGTTCACATCTGTAATCCCAACACTTTGGGAGGCCAAGGCAAGTGGATCCCTTGAGCCCAGGAGTTCAAGACCAGCCTGGCCAACATGGCAAAACACTGTCTCTACTAAAAATACAGAAAACTAGTCAGGTGTGGTGGCACATGCCTATAGTCCAAGCTACTCAGGAGACTAAGGTGGGAGGATAAGCTGAGCCTGGGAGGTCGAGGCCTCAGTAAGCTGAGATTGTACCACTGCACTCCAGCCTGAGCAACAGAGAAAGACCCAGTCTCAAAGAAGAAAGAAAGACAGACAGACAGAAAGAAAGAAAGAAAGAAAGAAAGAAAGAAAGAAAGAAAGAAAGAAAGAAAAAGAAAGAAAGAAAGAGAGAAATATCCTCTTGTTCATCGGTTTCATCATCTGAAAAAAAGTTTTGGCAAGATTATCCCTAAGACACCTTTCAATTCGAAAATTCCATCAAGGATCTTTCTGAAAATACAAGAAGCTAATATTAAAATAAATCTTTTTCATCTCACTTTCCATGTACCTCTTAAATCCTAGTTTGTTTAAAGTTAGCTATGCCGTAATTATGTTATCTAAACTCATGAAGCCTGTATTCATAAAATATGGGCAAATGCTGCAGGCTTAGATATGTAATAAAGAAAAGGAAAGATACACTTGCTATGGTTTCATTTATAGAAATTGAATGTTGAGTAGGCTAATTTCATATATAGAGCTAACTCTCCCTGGAAACGTTCTTTTAGTGGAGTATCACATTTCCCAAAAAATATTTGAATACTAGATTTTAAAGTGAATAATTATGATATAATCATGACTGCAATTTACTAGGCATCTACTGTATTCCAGGCACTATACTATGTATTTTACAGTGTATTTTCATATTATTATTATAACAATCCTATAATGTTGAACACACACACACACCCCACACACATATGCACACTGAGAATTAGATGCTAAGTTATATGCCCATTGTCAAACAACTGGTAAATGATGGAAACCAAACTATAAACTGGGTCCATCTTCCTGCCACATTTGTGTTATGTTTCATTATGTATGTTCTTATAACTTCTAATTGATTCTAAGTGTGTGTGTATTAGTCACCTATGAATCTCAAAATTTTAAAGCAGCTATGCACTGCATGGCTCAAAGTATTAAAATCTCATGCAACTAGAAGGGATGGAGTAACTGAAATGATTTTTTTGTTTTGTATGCTTAGAATATGCTAATCAATGTTGGAGGAACAAAGTTAAAATGAATGTGCCACTGGAACAAATTTTTAAAATCAGAAATAACTGGACTTCCCCACCCTCTATGAAGTCTTCTTCTAACTGATAACTTACCCTAGAAAGATGATGGAAGAATCCAAGCAGAAGAAAATGGAAAAAGGATTGGCAATACATTTTTAAAGTTTTCTCTGAATCCTAGTTACTGGAAATGCTAATTTTGGAAAAATGAATCCCAAATCTCTTGAATTTTAGTTGGCTAGAAGAGAGAAAGAGAAATGATTGAACTCCTACTTAAATTACTTCCTTATAATTAAAAATCCATTCACCCATAATGCTATTGATTCTTTTCGTGGCTAACATAGATGTAGAATAATAAATTACTATTGTATATATAATTGTTAATCCAGGTAATTGCATCCAGGATAACTCTATTAGTGGAATAGCTTTGTGAGTGATTTTTATATATCACTAACAATGATTCATGCCCTATATAAGACAAGAGAGTGGAAGGCTGCAGGCCTTTATATTCTCTGTTTATAGAATAAGCACCTAGACTGAAATATCAGATTTCTCTATGGTTTGTGCAGTAGTGGCTTCAGGATTTTCGTAAACTTTGAAGATAATTATAATAATATAGTGCTGGATATCTCCCAAAAAAGAACCTATGATTTCTTTTAAATTCTATGTTACAGACTGTCTTTTTTCATTGTCAACGTTTAGAGAAGACTCTCAGGAATCAACCCATCCTTTATCTGGTTTATAAGCAGATCCTCTCATGTCCAAGGTCTTGGACAAAACTTTTTCCCACTAATAACTTTAACCGGTTCTGTCCAGGTTCCTTTATTTTCTTTTTTACTGAAGTTTTCACAAGTTTCCTTAACAAGGTATCTGGTAATATTGTCCTTTCCTTATTCCTTGCTCATAATTTCTTTCAGACAAATCTACTAAAAATATCATGGAGCTTAACTCTAAGATTTTACAACTAATCTATTAATTACCCTTAAACATGGTTGTTAACATGTAAAAGCTATCTGTTTGGTAGTTATGACTATGACTACAGAGCAATTAAACATCTCTGGAATCTACTTATGAACCTGTTCTGGTCAAAACCATAATAATTAATGGCAAAGTTTACGTGTCCTCCTCTGTATTAATATGATGATCAGAGTAGAAGCTCCAGAAGTAATCTCATTACTAAATATGATTAATTTCGTTACTAAGTATATACTATATTAGGAAATTTATCTATGCATGTATTTTATTATTGTTTTAAAGATGGGATGTTTCTGTACCTTTAATAAGAGAATTATCTCTAAGCAAATGTGGCTTAATCTTATTGTATGGTTTTGGTGGAATAATTCTTCATAGTTTTCTTTTTGTCTATCAGAATTACTCTATTTTGATTTTGATGTAACTATTCAATAAAGGAAATGTTTCTCTGGACTTCTACTTTTTTCTTCTCAGGTGAATGCAGTGTCATATCAACACAAGACAGAATAAAGACAAAGACTACTCTCTGATCTCACCTATGAAATTAGATTAAACCACAAAGAGTGTCCCACAAGAACAATATACAGGAAGGTTTTTCCCAGTGTAGGTTAAATTGAGAAGGGGGTCACTTAAAAGATCTCAAAATATTCCCAAACAATAGGGAAATAATTTTTTTAATAGAACTGGGAAAATAAAACATGTTTATTCATTTGTTCTGTTAACATTTTGACATGGTTTGACTCTGTGTCCCCACCCAAATCTCATCTCAAATTGTAATCTCCATAATCCCAATGTGTCAAGGTAGGCACCTGGTGGGAAGGGATTGGATCATGGGGGCGGTTTTCACCATGTTGTTCTCATGATAGTGAGTGAGTCCTCATGAGATCTGATGGTTTTATTCAGTGTTTGACAGTTGTTCCTTCACACACTCTCTCAACTGCCTGTCTGCCATGTAAGACATGTCTGCTTCCCCTTTCGCCATGATTGCAAGTTTCCTGAGGCCTCCCCAGCCATGCAGAACTGTGAGTCAATTAAACCTCTTTTCTTTATAAATTACCCAGTCTCGGGCAGTTCTTTATAGCAGTGTGAGAACTAACTAATACACATTTATTACCTATAATTACCTACTATGATCTGGTATTGTTTTAGGAACTGAGTATAAAGAACGAAGCTGGAGGCCAGGCGCAGTGGTTCACACCTGTAATCCCAGCACTTTGGGAGGCCGAGGTGGGCGGATCACGAGGTCGGGAGACCAAGACCATCCTGGCTACAGTGAAACCCCGTCTCTACTAAAAATATAAAAAAAATTAACTGGGTGTGGTTGTGGGTGCCTGTAGTCCCAGCTACTCAGGAGGCTGAGGCAGGAGAATGGTGTGAGCCCAGGAGGCAGAGCCTGCAGTGAGCCGAGATCACACCACTGCACTCCGGCCTGGGTGACACAGGGAGACTCTGTCTCAAAAAAAAAAAAAAAAAAAAAAAAAAAAAAGAACAAAGCTGGCATGTTTCCTGCCCTTAAGGAATATACAGTCACGTGCTGTATAACAATGTTTCAGTCAACAATGGAATGCATATAAGGTCCCATAAGATTATAATACCGTATTTAACTGTACCTTTTCTGTGTCTAGATATCTTTAGATACACAACTATTTACCATTGCGCTACAACTGCCTACAGTATTCAGTATAGTAACATGCTGTAGAAGTTTGTAGCCTAGGAGCAGTAGGCTACACCATACAGCCTAGGTATGTAGTAGGCTCTACCATCTAGGTTTGTGTAAGTACACTCTATGATATTCACACAAGAACAAAATCGCTTAATGACACATTTCTGAGAACATGTCCCCATCATTAAGCAATGCATGATTGTATAGTCAAATAAAAAATACAGTTACAGGTAAATAAATAATATTTAAATGCAGCTTATGGTGAATATAAAGGAATCACAAAGTTGGTACTGTGATACGAAATTTAGAAGATAGCCAGCTTAGATATGATGATCTTTCTGCCTTTGTAAAGTGGACATTTAACTTGAGAACTGAATGCTATGCAGACAGTGGGAAGAATAATGCTGACCTAGAGGTCAGCAAACATTCTGTAATGAGACAAAGAGTAAATATTTTCCTGTTTTGTGTGTCATTTCTTCTCTGTTGCAACTAATCAGTTCCACCATTGAAGTATAAAAGCAGTCATTGACAATACCTGAACAGATAGGCATGGCTGTGTTCCAATAAAACTTTATTGAGAAAACCAGGCAGTGGGCCAGATTTGGCTTATGAATTGTACTTTGCCAGACATATAAGTGTGGTCAAAGTCTACCGGATAGGACAGAGATTGCTGTGTTCAAGAACTGGTAAGAGGCTGGTATGGCTAAAGTAGAGTAAATAGGAAGAGAGGGGCAAGAAATGAGCTTGAAAAACTAAGCAGGGGCCAGATAGTGTATGGCTGTAAAGACCATGTTAACAATCTATTTTGTTGGATTCTATTTAAGCCACTTAAAGTTTTAAGTAGGGTAGTCTTAAGTTAAATTAAATTTGGCTTAAAGTTGCCTCCATATTTTAATGCCCTATGTAGTGAACTGCAACCTAACAGTATATAAATGAACTGCAACTAGGCCAGGCACAGTGGCTCACACCTGTAATCCCAGCACTTTGGGAGGCCGAGGCAGGTGGATCGTTTGAGCTCAGGAGTTCAAGACCAGCCTGGGCAACATGGCGAAACCCTGTCTCTACCAAAAATACAAAAGAATTAGCCAGGTATGATGGGATGTGCCTGTGGTCCCAGCTACTCAGGAGACTGAGGTGGGAGGATTGCTTGAGTCTGGGAGGCAGAGTTTGCAGTGAGCCATGATTGTACTGCTGCACTCCAGCCTGGGTGACAGAGCAAGACCCTGTCTCAAAAAAGAAAAACAAAAAACAAATTGCAACTAAGAGTATATTCTTGTGACAAACAGCTGAGTATCAGACAATCCCAGCAACAAAGCTTTAGCCAATCACAGGCTGCTAACTCATCCGACTGTGTCCATAAAGGCAAATGCCTTATCCCATCATGCCCAAATAAGGCAAATGCTGAACTATAACCAATCAGACTATTTCTATAAATTCCTTTTTCTGTACATCACTTTTTCTGTCTGTAAATACTGCCTGCTCACATTACTGAGTGGAACTCTCTGAACCTCTTCTGGTTCTGAGGCTGCGCCTGATTCATGAATCATTTTTTTTTTTTTTTGCTCAAATAAACTCTGCTAAGTTTAATTTGTGTAAAGTTTTTCTTTTAAAAGTAGTAGGATTGTGCTATTTATATTTTGGAAGCTTATTATGATTCCTATGTGGAGAACAGATTGGAAGACTACTGAAGTAGTAGCACGCATGGTAGCAATGAAAATGGAGGTAAGTGGATGTATTTGTGATGCATTTAAAGATAAAAATCCTAATTGATGAACTGGATGGAGATGGGATGATAATAAAAGAAGGAAAAAAATTATCTTTGATATTCAGAGTTCTAGCTGGGGTAATTGGATTGACCATAGGTAGTCAAGTTGGGTGAAATTATAAATTTCTGAGGAAGACTAGAGGGAAAAAAGCCTAAAAAGTTAGATTGAATCCAATTAGATAATACCTTAAGTGATGGGCTAAGTAGATTGTATTCGTGTTAGTAAAAATGAAGAAGTTACTGAAGAGTTTTGAAGAGCAGAATAATATAATCAGAGTTGTCCTATAAACTCTGTTTTGTGCATAAATTAGAGAGGGATTGTGTCAGGAGTCTGGGGAACATGTTACCAAATTATTTAAATCCTACAGAAAAGAGATAATGAAGATTTGGTCCAGGGGATTAATATTGGGAATGGTAAGAAACGTAATGTAAATAGAACTTTTGGTTGAAATACACACAGACACACACAGAGACACACAAACATACACACACATATATATATGAAGATTAATGTATATAGCACATGGGTTTTGAACTCAGGCTATCTGGTCCCAGAGTTCATGACACAGCACTTGATACAATATTTTTATCAAATAGCTATTATGACACAATTTATTGTGGTATTCAATGTTCCATATTTAAAAGACTCAGTGATTTCTTTTATAGTTCAGTGTATTTCTATCAGAAAAGTTATATGTCTCCTTTTATCAGATGGAAACTATTTAATTCAACATTTTATTTTTTGTTGTAGAATGTGTGTGTGTGTGTGTGTGTGTGTGTGTGTGTGTGTTTCAGGGTATTTACAGTAAATAAACACTATGAAATAATTTTTACAAATTAAAACAAATAAGAATAAAAGCCAAATTTTAAAGGGAAATGTGGGTAATTAGACAAGATTATAAAGTTAGTACAACTGAGCCCAAAAATTAGCTCTGAGTTCTCTGACAACCAAAAAATAAAATAAAAACAAGGGGGAAGAGGTAAAAATGCTGAATTAAATAGCTTCCATCTTATATAAGGACACGTCACTTTTCCAGGAGAGATACACTAAACTATAAAAGAAATAAATCTTTCAGTATTTTAAATATGGAACACCAAATACCACAATAAATTATGCCATAATAGCTATTTGATAAAAATATTATATCATAGACCTATTTTTTTTTTTTTTTTGAGACGGAGTCTCCACCCAGGCTGGAGGTGCAGTGGCGCGATCTCGGCTCACTGCAAGCTCCGCCTCCTGGGTTCATGCCATTCTCCTGCCTCAGCCTCCTGAGTAGCTGGGACTGCAGGCGCCCGCCACCACGCCCGGCTAATTGTTTTATTTTTAGTAGAGACCGGGTTTCGCTGTGTTAGCCAGGATGGTCTACCATCTCCTGACCTCATGTTCTGCCCGCCTCAGCCTCCCAAAGTGCTGGGATTACAGGCGTGAACCACCGCGCCCGGCCCTTCATAGACCTATTATAGTGTATTGACAAAAAGTAAGAACAATGCAGTCCAGATAATGAGTTTTACAATGATTCGATTTGATTCCAAAATAAAGCTTACAACATACGAATATATAGTTAGTGTTTCTCAAAGATATGTCTTCCACCAAACACCCAGCACATTAATGAGATCAACTCTACAGCAGTACAGACAACATAGTGGGCAAAAGCTAGTGTCATGGACTCTGGGACAAGATAGCCTGAGTTCAAAACCCATGTGCTGTAGACATTAATGGTTTTAGCAGAGTGGCTGTAGACACCAAATGTCAAGGGGTTACAGTGGGGCTGGCATAATCAGAAAGGAAAAGTTCCAATGTACATCAGCTGGTAAAAGGTAAAGTTACTTGTCAGATATATCAACTATTAAATTAATAATGGCTAGAAAAAGAAATAAATAAGGTATAGCTCCACAGTGGAGTTTCTCAGTTTGAAAAATATGCTCCCCAGTAAATTTAAATGTGACCATTCTCGTTATTAATCTAGTTCAAAATGATTTATTTCCTATTTTTTAACTAGTGTTTCTATGACGCATTACAAACTTGCCATTTCGCAAAGACAGTTGGGCTGGCTGTATCTAATTTTAATTGAATTTTTGACCTTTAAGGATTCAGTTTGGCCAAACTGATATCTGATTAGGAGGATTTTCAGTAGACTTATTAGTCTGGGTTATTACTTTCAGATTGCAGAGTCATGTTGAGTAAGAAGATTATATTCAGTATCTTGGCAAGTATATACAATGAGTATTTCTTAATTGCACACAGAAGCAATGGAAAGAGAATACATTTAAGACAGATTTTTAAAGACTGCTATCCTTGACTATATGTACACAGTTCAAAAAACCACCAGACTCCTTATCTTTTGATTTGAGTTTATGAGTTTATGTGACTAGGAGTTTATAAGGTGAAAAACAACAGCTGTGGGCTTTGTTCTTCCTTCAGAGCAAGTTATATTTGCTTGATAATAGAATTTGCTTGTGTTTAGTCTAAACAAAGAGTTGATGTCAATTGACTTTATTTTGTTTTACCTCTCCCAATCCCTGTCTCCCTCCAACATTTGCCACCTTGATTCTGGCTTCTCCAATGGATATTCAATGCTCATCCTTACCCCTCTGCCTTTGCTGAAGCTGTTCCCTCTTCCTGGAATGCCTTCTGCTTCAGTCCCTCCCAACTAAGGAAATTCCACTCCCTGCTCCTGTAACACAATGCTCTCTTTACAGCATCTATTACATCTCCTGCCTCCCTGACTTTCTTCAACCCTGCTGGGGTGAAGGCTGTGATTCATTCATCTCTGTATTCCCAGCACCATATTTGTTTGGCAAATAGAAAATAAAATAAAAAGCATTTATTAAATTAATTCTCCTTATCACTTGTGAAGAGTGTTGGAGGGTTGGAATATTATAACATTTTTCCAGAAACATGCCCATTTCTGACTTCACTATCCCAGGAACTAACAGTAGCTTCCAATAAGAATTGACTCTCTGGACAAAGAGATGGTAACACAAAGGTTAATGAATAAGCAGCATCATAAGACAATGAAGGCAGTAATTACATTCACATACAGTTATTAGTATGTGTTACTAATAACTATGGTCTTAGTGTTACCTGGTTTTGAATTGTTTTGCTTAAAATCTAGCCTACCTCAGATGGTAGAGAGCCCTGTCACCCTGGTTTTACCTTTATAATACCGTCTCTTCTCACACCATGGGAAATGTAGCAAATAATTCACAGCCTAGTAATAATGTGGCCTGGAAGTTTTTTAAAAATAATTGACACAAAGTGTGCTGAAATAAAAAATATACATGTAATAAATACATATGAAATACAATTTAAAAAATAGCTAAAGTTATATACAAAAGGAAATTAGAAAATTTCACTCCAAAAAATTTAAAAAACACAAAAGAACATAATAATACAGGAAATGAGGAGCAAAAAAAAGTTATGAGGCATGTAGAAAACAAATAGAAAATAACAGAAGCAAGTCCCTTCTTATCAGTTAATTACTTTAATGTAAATAAATTAAACTCTTCGAGCAAAATACAGAGCTTGGTAGCATAGATTTTAAAATACGATTCTAACTGTATGCCATCTACAAGAGACTCATTTGAGATCCAGAGACACATGGAGGTTGAAAGTAAAAGGATGGAAAAAGATATTCCATACAAATACTAACTAAAAGAAAGCAGGGGAGGCTATACGAATGTGAGAAAAAATAGACTTTAAACTAAAAAAGTTTATGAAACAAAGAAAGGCATTATGTATTAATAAGAGGTTCAATACAGCAAGAAGGTATAAGATCATCACATTTACATTTATATACCTAATAATAGACTATCAAAACATATAAAGCAAAAGTGGGCAGAAATGAAAGGAGAAATAACAGTGGGTGACTTCAGTATCCCACTCTCAGCAATAGATAGAACAATCAGACAGAAGAGAAATAAGAAAACAGATAATTTGAATAACACCATAAACGAATGAGATCTAACAGACATTTAGAATACTCTAACCCAACAACAGAATACACATTCTTCTCAAGGGTACATGGGACATTTTCCAGGATAGACCATATGATAGACGAGAAATTTAACAAGTCTCAATAGCTTGTTAAAAACATGTATATAATAAAAGTATCTTCTCTAACCGCAATGGGATGAAGTTAGAAATTAATGACAGAAAGAAAATTGGAAAATTCACAAATTTCTAGAAATGACACAGCACACTCTTAAACAATCCATGGATTGAAAAATAAATCACAAGGAGAATTAGAAAGTATTTAAGACCTTTAGGGCCAAGATGGCAGACTAGAAACAGCTAGTGTGTGCATCTCTCACAAAGAGAATGGAAGGGGTGAGTAAATACAGCACCTTCAGTTGAAACATCCAGGTACACACATTGAGAATAATCAAGGAAACAACTCAATGCACAGAGAACAGAGAAAAGCAAGGCAGGATGACGGCCCACCCAGGAGCAATACGGAGCCAGGGGAACCTCCCCTGCCCCTAGGGAAGTGGTGAGTGAATGTGCGACCCTGGAAACCCATGCTTCTCCCAAGGGTCTTTGCAACCCTTGGGTCAGGAAATTCTCCTCATGAACCTACCCCACCAAGACCTTCAGTCTGACACAGAGCTATATGGAATCCCGGCAGAACAGCCACTCAGGCACACATGGAGACCCGGGAGACTTAAGATAACTGGGCTTCCCAGCAAAGGTAGTTGCAACTCTGGCAAAGTGGCAGGTTAGACCCCCACACGTAACCCTAGGAAAGAGGCTGAATCCAGGGGGCTAGGCAGTGACAGTCTGCAGGCCCTGCTTCCATGGCAACCCACAGGATAAGACCCACTGGCTTGGAATTCTAGCCAGCCACGGGTAGCAGTGTTAGACATCCCTGAGACAGAGTTCCAAGTGGGGAGGGGCAGGCCACCATTTTTGCTGTTTGGGCGAAAGAGCAAAGCTGTTCCAGCCTTTGGGTTTTGGAGAGTCCAAGCTGACCAGAGGCAGAAACAATCCCCATGCACAGCACAGCTGCATCCTTAAAAACATGGCCAGACTGCTTTTTAAAGCGGGTCCCCAATCCCGTTCCTCCTCACTGGACAGGACCTCCCAACCAGGGTCTCCAGCCACTCCCAAAGGTGTTCTCTGGCCCACAGAAATTTGAAACCTCCCTTGGACAGAACTCCCAGAGAGAGGGGTGGACTGCCATCTTTGCTGTTTGTGTGACTTAGCTGCTCTGGCCTTTGAGCTTTGGAAACTCAAGGTAACTGGGGGCTGAAGTAGACCCCCAGTACAGCACAGCTGCTCTATGAAAAAGTGGCCACAGTGCTTTTTTAAGTGAACTGTTTCTCCCTACTAGGTGGGACCTTTCAACTGGGGTCTCCAGCCACTTCCTACAAGTGTGTTTGGCTCAGTAACATGTCTGTACTTCCCTGGGACAAAGCTCCCAAAAAAAAGGGCAGGCAACCATCTTAGCTATTTCCCAGACTTCATTGTTAATACCTCCAGGTAATGGAAAATCTGAGGTGACTAGGGACTGGAGTGGGCCCCCAGCCTACCGTAGCAGCCCTACAGAAAAGTGGCCAGGCTGTTACATGGGTGCCCATTCCCATATCTCTTCAATAGGCAGGACCTCCAGACCTGGGCCTCTAGCCACCCTCCACCAGAGTACTGAGCCAGTAGCAGCTCTGTAACTCCCCAGACAGAGCCCTTCAAGGCAACTGAAAGCCTCTCTGCCACTGCCTCTGCAGTCGAACTACCCTTGCCACCCTCGGACTAATAAAGGAGCAAAGACTTTAAGTGCCTTATCCACACCTCCAACAAGCTGCAGTTGACCTAAGGAGAGAAGGCCAGTTTGTTTTCCATGGGTCCCACCCTCCAGTCCCCCACTGCTCATCACCAGTCAGGGAACCTCCAGTTTGGGCCCACAGCACAGACTCTCTAGCCTGAGCTGATGGCACTGAGTGATTACTAACCTGCATCTCTCTGGGGTGGAGCCCTCAGGAGACAAGCAAAAGACCCTTGGCCACATCCACAACTAAGGTCCCTTCCTCTTCTGCCTCAAAATTGGGGAAGAAACATACACACTCAGATTGCCCCAGGGCTGCAGTGGGCAGCTGGGAGTGCCAAGCCATGATCTACACCCAGCACTCAAGGGGGAGAGGAACCCACACTTTCAGAACATTGATGGAGAACATGGCTACAAGTGGAAGAAAACATAAGGGAACCATACAACTAAGCAAAAGTCTACCAACTGATCAATACACCTAAGTGCCACCTAATGGATCACACCCCAAAGCTTCAACACAAAAAATACCTCACTAACATATCCCTCTCTGAAACCAAAGACAAGAAGTCAGCTTCAAATAAAGACCCTGCACAAAGCCTTGGCCCTGTGAAAACATCCAGAAAATAAATCTATTGACTGTACTCAATCTACACTGCAGTTAAAGAAACACTCACACACAGAGATAAGAAAGAACCCTAACAAGAACTCCAGTAACTCAAAGGCCAGAGTGTCATATGTCCTCTAAACAAACACTCCAGTTCTCCAAAGAGAGTTCTTAATAAGGCTGAGCTGGCTGAAATGAAACCAAAACAGCATGGTACTGGTACCAAAACAGAGATATAGATCAATGGAACAGAACAGAGCCCTCAGAAATAACGCCACATATCTACAACTATCTGATCTTTGACAAACCTGACAAAAACAAGCAATGGGGAAAGGATTCCCTATTTAATAAATGGTGCTGGGAAAACTGGCTAGCCATATGTAGAAAGCTGAAACTGGATCCCTTCCTTACACCTTATACAAAAATCAATTCAAGATGGATTAAAGACTTAAACGTTAGACCTAAAACCATAAAAACCCTAGAAGAAGACCTAGGCATTACCATTCAGGACATAGGCATGGGCAAGGACTTCATGTCTAAAACACCAAAAGCAATGGCAACAAAAGACAAAATTGACAAATGGGATCTAATTAAACTAAAGAGCTTCTGCACAGCAAAAGAAACTACCATCAGAGTGAACAGGCAACCTACAAAACGGGAGAAAATTTTCGCAACCTACTCATCTGACAAAGGGCTAATATCCAGAATCTACAATGAACTCCAACAAATTTACAAGAAAAAAACAAACAACCACATCAAAAAGTGGGCGAAGGACATGAACAGACACTTCTCAAAAGAAGACATTTATGCAGCCAAAAAACACATGAAAAAATGCTCACCATCACTGGCCATCAGAGAAATGCAAATCAAAACCACAATGAGATACCATCTCACACCAGTTAGAATGGCAATCATTAAAAAGTCAGGAAACAACAGGTGCTGGAGAGGATGTGGAGAAATAGGAACACTTTTACACTGTTGGTGGGACTATAAACTAGTTCAACCATTGTGGAAGTCAGTGTGGCGATTCCTCAGGGATCTAGAACTGGAAATACCATTTGACCCAGCCATCCCATTACTGGGTATATACCCAAAGGACTATAAATCATGCTGCTATAAAGACACATGCACATGTATGTTTATTGTGGCATTATTCACAATAGCAAAGACTTGGAACCAACCCAAATGTCCAAAAATGATAGACTGGATTAAGAAAATGTGGCACATATACACCATGGAATACTATGAAGCCATAAAAAATGATGAGTTCATGTCCTTTATAGGGACATGGATGAAATTGGAAATCATCATTCTCAGTAAACTATCGCAAGAACAAAAAAACAAACACCGCATATTCTCACTCATGGGTGGGAATTGAACAAGGAGAACACATGGACACAGGAAGGGGAACATCACACTCTGGGGACTGTTGTGGGGTGGGGGGAGGGGGGAGGGATAGCATTGGGAGATATACCTAATGCTAGATGACGAGTTAGTGGGTGCAGCGCACCAGCATGGCACATGTATACATATGTAACTAACCTGCACAATGTGCACATGTACCCTAAAACTATAATAATAAAAAAATAAAATAAAATAAAATAAAATAAAAAGAAAGAAAGAAATAGAATTCACAATATGGATAGGAACGAAGGTCACTGAGTTTCAGGAGGATGGCAAAACCCAATCCAAGAATCACAATGAAATGATACAGGAGCTGAAGGATGAAATAGTCACTATAAAAAAGAACCTAATGTATCTGACAGAGCTGAGTAACACAATAAAAGAATTTCACAATGCAATCATAAGTAGTAACAGCAGAATATTAACAAGCATTAACAGCAGAATAGACCAAGCTGAGTAAAGAATCTCAGAACTTGAGGATTGGCTCTCTGAAATAAGACAGACAAAAATAAAGAAAAAAAGAATTAAAAGGAATGAACGAAATCTCCTAGAAGTATTGGATTACGTTAAAGAGGCAAAATCTGTGAATCACTGGTACCCAGAAAGGGAGGGAGAGAAAGCAAACAACTTGGAAAACATATTTTAGGATATCGTCCATGAAAACTTTGCCAACCTTGCTAGAGAGGCCAACAGTCCCTTTGTGCAGGCTGGCATATGCCAATTTGGGGGTGGTAACCAACCAGTTTTACCTCATTTTAAGCATTACATTTTGAAGACTGTGAATATACTTCACAGCAGATCAAACACATTTATGGCATGCACTGACCTCTTCTTAGAGCCCAGAACTTTATAGAGTTGCCTACCAGGGTTACTGTAATGGAATTTATGATCTTAAGAAATTACTAGTTGTATTATTTATCCTGTGATTCATTCATTCAATAAGCTTTTACTGCATAAACTTTGCATCCAGCACTGTAGTAAGTATCCAAAATTGAATAGAAATAATGGCTTTTGAAAATTGCGCAAAGCAGGCCGGGCATGGTGGCTCATGCCTGTAATCCCAGCACTTTGGGAGGCCGAGGCGGGTGGATCACGAGGTCAGGAGATCGAGACCATCCTGGCTAACATGGTGAAACCCCGTCTCTACTAAAAATACAAAAATTAGCTGGACATGGTGGCACGTGCCAGTAATCCCAGCTACTCAGGAGGCTGAGGCAGGAGAATTACTTGAACCCGGGAGGTGGAGGCTGCAGTGAGACGAGATCATGCCACCTCACTCCAGCCTGGCAACAGAGTGAGACTCCGTCTCAAAAAAAAAAAAAAAAAAAAAAAAAAGAAAAGAAAATTGTGCAAAGCATAGGTAAATATTTTTCTTTATTAAGCTTCTCACTGATAAGCCCTCTTTCTTTTGGTAAATGTCACTCTGTTTGTTAGGAGATGTCTGCTTTTCCATGAAATGAAATAGGGGCTAAAGCCCCGAAAGAGGCAAGACTACAATGGGCTGAAACAGTTGGTATAGCAACCCCAGAGAAGCGCTTCATTTTCTTTTTATAGTAGAAGCAGGTCCATGTCTTTTGTGGTTTCCTTCACATCTTTGGAGTAGTTGTGACTTCTCAGTTTTTCCCCCCTTAAACTGCATTGCCTGTTCTCTTTTCCTGACATGCTATCAGGTATCAGTGTGTTGAATACATACTGCTTGTGTATCAGACTTATGTTACTGTCATTACCATTAAAAGAATCGCAGCCTTGTGCCCCATGACCTTCAAAAAAAAAAAAAAGAAAGAAAAAAAGAAAACTCCTGAAAGATTCTACACAAGAAGATCATCCCCAAGACACATAATCATCAGATTTTCCAAGGCCAAAATGAAAGAATGTTAAAGACAGCTAGAGAGAAAGAGCAGGTCACCTACAAAGGGAACCCCAACAGGCTAACAGTGGACCTCTCAGCTGAAACCCTACAAGCCAGAAGAGATTGGGGGCCTATATTCAACATCTTAAAGAAAAAAATCTTCAATCAATAATTTCATATCCAGCTAAACTAAGCTTCCTAAGTGAAGGAGAAATAAGATCTTTTTTACATAAGCAAACGTTTAGGGAGTTCATTACCACCAGACCTGTCTTACAAGAGATCTTGAAAGGAGCACTAAATATAGAGAGGAAAGACTGTTACCAGGTAATACAAAAACACACTTAAACACACAGACCAGTGTCACTGTAAAGCAACCACACAACGAAGCCGGCATTACCAGCTAACAACACAATGGAAGGATCAAATCCACACATATCAATACTAACCTTGATTGTAAATGGGCTAAATGCCCCAACTTTTTTTTTTGAGACAGAGTCTCACTCTGTCACCTAGGTTGGAGTGCAATGGCATAATCTTGGCTCACTGCAGCTTCTGCCTCCTGAGTTCAAGCAATTCTCATGTCTCAGCCTCCCAAGTAGCTGGGACTACAGGTACACACCACCACACCTGGCTAATTTTTGTATTTTTAGTAGAAATGAGGTTTCATCATGTTGGCTAGGCTGGTCTCAAACTCTTGCCTCAGCCTCCCAAAGTACTAGGATTATGGGCATGAGCTACCATGCCCAGCCCAAATGCCCCAATTCAAAACCACAGCATGGCAAGCTGGATAAAAGTGCAAGACCCAGTGGTTTGCTGTCTTCAAGAGACCTATCGCACATGTAATGGCACCCAGAGGCTCAAAGTAAAGAGATGGAGGAAAATCTACCAAGCAGATGGAAAACAGAAAAAAGCAGGTGTTGAAATCCTAATTTCAGACAAAGCAGACTTCAAGCAAACACAGATCAAAAAAGACAAAGAAGGGCATTACATAATGGTAAAGGGTTCAATTCAACAAGAAGACCTAACTATCTTAAATATATATGCACCCAACACATATATGCACACCCAGATTCATAAAGCAAGTTCTTAGAGACCTACAAAGAGACTTAGACTCCCACAACAATAATAGTGGAAAACTTCAACACTCCATTGACAGTGTCAGACAGATCATCAAGGCAGAAAATTAATGAAGATATTCAGGACCTGAACTCAACATTGGACCAAATAAATCTGATAGACCTCTATAGAACTCTCCACCAAGAAAAAAACAGAGTATACATTTTTCTCATCACCACATGGAACACACTCTAAAATCAACCATATAATTGGACATAAAACAATCCTCAGCAAATGCAAAAGAAACAAAATCATACCAAACACACTTTCAGACCACAGCACAATGAAAATAAAAGTCAAGACTAAGAAAATTGCTCAAAGCCATACGATTGCAGGGAAATTAAACAACATGCCTCTGAATGACTTTTGGGTAAATAATGAAATTAAGGCAGAAATCAAGATTTTCTTTGATGAAAACAAAGGTACAATATATCAGAATTTATGGGACACAGCTAAAACAATGTTGAGAGAAATTCATAGCACTAAATGCACATCAAAAAGTTAGAAAGATCTCAAAAAAATTGAAGCCAAATTGAAGAATCCAGTAGTTTTTTTTTTTTGAAAAAACAAAAAAAAGATAGGTAGATAGGCCACTAGCTAGAGTAATAAAGCAGAAAGAAGATCCAAATAAACACAACGAGAAATGGTGAAGAGAATGTTACCACTGATCCCACAGAAATTAAAACAACCATCAGATACTACTGTGAACAACTCTATGCACACAAAGTAGAAAACCTAGAAGAGATGGATAAATTTCTGGACACATATACCCTCTCAAAACTTAATAGTTGCAGCACACCAACATGGCACATGTATACATATGTAACAAACCTGCACATTGTGCACATGTACCCTAAAACTTAAAGTATAATAATAATAAAAAAAACTGAACCAGGGAGAAATAGATTCCCTGAAGAGACCAATAACAAGCTCTGAAACTGAATCAGTAATAAGTAGCCTACCAACAAAACAAAGCCCAGGACCTGATGGATTCACAGCTGAATTCTACTAGATGTTCAAAGAAGAGCTGCTACCATTCCTACTGAAACTATTCCAAAAAACTGAGGAGGAACTCCTCCCTAACTCATTCTATGTGGCCAGCATCTTCCTGATACCAAAACCTGGCAGAGAAACAACAAAGAAAGAAAACTTCAGGCCAATATCTTTGATGAGCATCAATGCAAAAATCCTCAATAAAATACTGGCAAACTGAATCCAGCAGCACATCAAAAAGCTAATCCACAATGATAAAGTAGACTTCATGCTCGGGATGCAAGGTTGGTTCAACATACACAAATCAATAAATGTGATTCATCTCATAAACAGAACTAAAGGCACAAACCACACGATTATCTCAACAGATGCAGAAAAGACCTTCAATAAAATTTAATACCCCTTCATGTTAAAAACTCTCAAAAAACTAGGTATTAAAGGAACATACCTCAAAATAATAAGGCCTGTCGATGACAAAACCACAGCTAACATCATACCAAATGGGCAAAAGCTGGAAGCATTTTTCTTGAAAAATGGCACAAGACAAGGATATCCTCTCTTACCACTACTATTCAATATAGTATTAGAAGTACTAGGCCAGAGCAATCAAGCAAGAAAAAAATAAAGGGCATCCAAATAGGAAAAGAAGAAGTCAAATTATCTCTGTTTGAAGACAACATGATTTTATATCTAGAAAACCCCATAGTCTTGGCTCAAAAGCTCCTTCAGCTGATAAACAACTTCAGCAAAGTTTCGGGATACAAAATCAATCTACAAAAATTACTATCATTTCTGTATACCAAAAACAGCCAAGCTTTGCCAAGCCAAATCAGGAAGGCAATCTCATTTGCAATTGCCACAGAAAGAATAAAATACCTAGGTATACGGTTAACCAGGGAGGCGAAAGATTTCTACAATGAGAATTATAAAACACTGCCCAAATAAATCAGAGAAGACACAAACAAAAGGAAAAACATCCTATGCTCATGGATAGGAGAATAAATATCATTAAAATGGCCATACTACCCAAAGCAATTTACAGATTCAATACTATTCCTATCAAACTACCAATGTCATTCTTCACAGAACTAGAGAAAATTATTTTAAAATTAACATGATTGAAAAAAAAAGCCCAAATAGCCAAAGCAATCCTAAGCAAAAAGAACAAAGCTGGAAGCAACATGTTATCTGACTTCAAACTACACTATAGGGCTACAATAACCAAAACAGCATGGTACTGGTACAAAAACAGGGACATAGACCAGTGGAACAGAAATAAGGCTATCTATGACCATTTGATCTCTGACAAAGCTGACAAAAACAAGCAAGGGGAAAAGACTCCCTATTCAATAAATAATGCTGGGATAACTGGCTAGCCGTAGGCGGAAGACTAAAGCTGGACCCCTTCCTTACACCATATACAAAAATCAGCTCAAGATGAATTAAAGACTTAAATGTAAAATGCAAAACTATGAAAACCCTGGAAGACAACCTAGGCAATACCATCCTGGACATAGGAATGGGCAAAGATTTTATGACAAAGACACCAAAAACAATTGCAACAAAAGCAAAAATTGACAAATGGGATCTAATTAAAGAGCTTCTGGACTCCTCCTTCCTGCCATCTTGTAAGGAAGGTGCCTTGCTTCCTCTTCACCTTCTGCCATGATTGTAAGTTTTCTGAGGCCTCTCCAGCCATGATGAATTGCGAAAGAGCCATGTAATCATGCCAACATTCTGATGAAGCCTGATCCAAGAACCTTATGGACTAATGGTGATTCAAAGCAGGGCTAACTCAGGCAGTGTACCCAGAGTCAGCTACACTCCAGCCAGGGTGTGACAGAGTTAGAAGACCTCACTCAAAAAAAAAAAAAAAAAATCTAAAACAGCAACTTCAGTGTGCAGGAAGGAGCAAGGAGCATAAGAAAATTTAAAAAGAGGTGTCAGAGGGATGTGGCCTGAGAGACTCCATTGTCATTGCTGGCCCTGAAGGTGGAAAAGTCATGAGCCAGGGCAGGCAGATGGCCTCTAACAGCTAGAAAAGGGAAAGGAAAGAATTCTCTATGGAGCCTCCAGAAGGGACACATCCTGCCAACACCTTGATTGTAGTCTGTAAGACCGTTTGGACTTTTAATCTCCAGAACTCTATTGAAGCTTAGGAGAAGATGGTAGCTAGGAGGCAGGACTAGCCTGCAGCTCCAGCTCAGACAAACAGAGCAGTGTGTGGAGACTCATATCATGAACTTTTGCTCCAGAACTACTATAGGAATATATCAGGAAAGCTGAGAGAATCCACAGACCCTCTGAAGGAAGTGGATTGCTCCTGCAGGACCTGGGAGATAGCCCAAATACTGTGCTGGTAACCATAGCTGAGAGACCTGAAGATGATTCACATGACAGGACTCTGTGCAGACGATCCCCAGTATCAGCCCAGAGCTTGGTAGCCCTGCTGGATGGCTAGGTCCAGAAAAGAAATAACAATCACTACAGTTTGGCTATCAGGAAACCACATCCCATGAAAAGGGGGAGAGTACTACATCAGGGAACTTTTTGTTCCTTTATGGAACAAAAGAATCTGAATGGCAGGCTTGAGCCCCAGATCTTCCCTCGGACATAGCCTACCCAAATGAGAAGAAACCGGAAAAACAATTCTGGTAATATGTCAAAACAATGTTCTTTAATACCCCCAAAAAATCACACTAGCTCACCAGCAATGGATCCAAACCCAAAAGAAATCCCTGATTTACCTGAAAAAGGATTCAGAATGTAATCTACAAAATCTACTAAGCTAATCAAGGAGGCAGCAGAGAAAAGTGAAGTCCAATTTAAGGAAATCAAAAAAAGATACAAAATATAATGGGAGAGATCTTCAGTTAAATGGATAGAATGAATACAAAACAATCAAACTTCAGGAAATAATGGACACACTTAGAGAAATGCAAAATGTACTAGAAAGTCTCAGCAATAGAATAAAACAAGAAGAAAGAACTTCAGAACTCTAAGACAAGGATTTTGAATTAACCCAATTCAACAGAGACAAAGAAAAAAGAATTCTAAAAAACGAACAAAGCCTCCAAGAAGTCTGGGATCATGTTAGATGATCAAACCTAAGAATAATTGGTGTTCCTGAGGAAGAAGAGAAGTCTAAAAGTTTGGAAAACATAATTGGGGAATAATCAAGGAAAACCTCCCTGACCTTGCTAGAGACCTAGACATCCAAATATAGGAAGATCAAAACACCTGGGAAATTCATCACAAAAAGAGCATCACCTGGGCACATTGTCATCTGATTATCTAAAGTCAAGACAAAGGAAACAATTTTAAGAGCTGTGAGGCAAAAGCGTCAGATAACCTATAAAGACAAACCTTCTGCTAGATTTTGAATTTGTTTGCTCTTGCTTCTCTAGTTCTTTTAATTGTGATGTTAGGGTGTCAATTTTAGATCTTTCCTGCTTTCTCTGCTGGTCATTTAGTGCTATAAATTTCCCTCTACACACTGCTTTAAATGTGTCCCAGAGATTCTGGTATGTTGTGTCTTTGTTCTCATTGGTTTCAAAGAACATCTTTATTTCTGCCTTCATTTTGTTATTTACCCAGTAGTCATTCAGGAGCAAGTTGTTCAGTTTCCATGTAGTGGTGCAGTTTTGAGTGAGCTTCTTAATCCTGAGTTCTAATTTGATTGCACTGTGGTCTGAGAGACAGTTTGTTGTGATTTCTGTTCTTTTACATTTGCCAAAGAGTGCTTTACTTCCAACTATGTGGTCAATTTTAGAATAAGTGTGATGCAGTGCTGAGAAGAATGTATATTCTGTTGATTTGGGGTAGAGAGTTATCTAGATGTCTATTAGGTCTCCTGGTTGCAGAGCTGAGTTCAGGTCCTGTATATCCTTGTTAACCTTCTGTCTTGTTGATCTGTCTAATATTGACAGTGGAGTGTTAAAGTCTCCCATTATAATTGTGTGGGAGTCCAAGATCAGAGCACAACTGAAAGAGGTGGAGACACAAAAAACCCTTCAAAAAATCAATGAATCCAGGAGCTGGTTTTTTGAAAATATCAGCAAAATTGATAGACCGCTAGCAAGACTAAATAAAGTAGAAAAGGAAGAAGAGTTAAATAGACACAATAAAAAAATGATAAAGGGGATCTCACCACCGATCCCACAGAAATGCAAACTACCATCATAGAATACTATAAACACCTCTATGCAAATAAACTAGAAAAATCTAGAAGAAATGGATAAATTCCTGGACACATACACCCTCCCAAGACTAAACCAGGAAGAAGTTGATTCTCTGAATAGACCAATAACATGCTCTGAAATTGAGGCAATAATTAATAGCCTACCAACCAAAAAAAGTCCAGGACCAGACGGATTCACAACCGAATTCTACCAGAGGTACAAAGAGGAGCTGGTACCATTCCTTCTGAAACTATTCCAATCAATAGAAAAAGAGGGAATCCTCCCTAACTCATTTTATGAGGCCAGTATCATCATAATACCAAAGCCTGGCAGAGACACAACAAAAAAAGAGAATTTTAGACCAATATCCCTGATGAATATCGATGCAAAAGTCCTCAATAAAATACTGGCAAACCGAATCCAGCAGCACATCGAAAAGCATATCCACCACGATCAAGTGGGCTTCTTCCCTGGGATGCAAGGCTGGTTCAACACACACAAATCAATAAACGTAATCCATCACATAAACAGAACCAATGACAAAAACTACATGATTATCTCAATAGATGCAGAAAAGGCCTTTGACAAAATTCAACAGCCCTTATTGCTAAAAACTCTCAATAAACTAGGTGTTGACGGAATGTATCTGAAAATAATAAGAGCTGTTTATGACAAACCCACAGCCAATATCATACTGAATGGGAAAAAAGTTAATTCAAGATGGATTAAAGACTTAAATGTCAGACCTAAAACCATAAAATCCCTAGAAGAAAACCAAGGGAATACCATTCAGGACATAGGCATGGGCAAGGACTTCATGTCTAAAACACCAAAAGCAATGGCAACAAAAGCCAAAATTGACAAATGGGATCTAATTAAACCAAAGAGCTTCTGCACAGCAAAAGAAACTACCATCAGAGTGAACAGGCAACCTACAGAATGGGAGAAAATTTTTGCAATCTACCCATCTGACAAAGGGCTAATATCCAGAATCTACAAAGAACGCAAACAAGTTTACAAGAAAAAAACAACCCCATCAAAAAGTGGGCAAAGGATATGAACAGACACTTCTCAAAAGAAGACATCTATGCAGCCAACAGACATATGAAAAAATGCTCATCATCACTTGTTATCAGAGAAATGCAAATCAAAACCACAATGAGATACCATCTCATGCCAGTTAGAATGGCAATCGTTAAAAAGTCAGGAAACAACAGATGCTGGAGAGGATGTGGAGAAATAGGAATGCTTTTACACTGTTGGTGGGAGTGTAAATTGGTTCAACCAATGTGAAAGACAGTGTGGAAATTCCTCAAGGATCTAGAACTAGAATTACCATTTGACCCAGCAGTCCCATTACTGGGTATATACCCAAAGGATTATAAATCATGCTACTATAAAGACACACGTACATGTATGTTTATTGTGGCACTATTCACAATAGCAAAGACTTGGAACCAACCCAAATGGCCATCAATGATAGACTGGATTAAGAAAACGTGGCACATATACACCATGGAATACTATGCAGCCATAAAAAAGGATGAGTTCATGTCCTTTGCAGGGACATGGATGAAGCTGGAAACCATCATTCTCAGTAAACTATCGCAAGGACAGAAAACCAAATACTGCCTGTTCACACTCATAGGTGGGAATTAAACAATGAGATCACTTGGACACAGGGTGGGGAACATCACACACTGGGGCCTGTTGGGGGATTGGGGGCTGGGAGAGGGATAGCATTAGGAGAAATACCTAAGTAAATGATGAGTTGATGGGAACGTCAAACCAACATGGTACAAGTATACCTATGTATCAAACCTGCACGTTGTGCACATGTACCCTAGAACTTAAAGTATAAAAAAAAGCTATTTTTTATAAAAAAAAAAGCTATCAGATTGACAGTAGATATATCAGCAGTAACCTTACAAGCTAGAAGGGATTGGGGCTTTATCTTCAGCCTCCTTAAATAAAACAATTATCAGGTAAGAATTTTGTACCCAGGGAAAGTAAGCTTCATAAATGAAGAAAAGATACAGTCTTTTTCAGACAAACAAATGATGAGAGAAGTCACCACTTCCAAGCCAGCACTACAAGAACTGCTAAAAGGAGCTCTAAATCATGAAACAAATCCTGGAAACACATCCAAACAGAACCTCTTTAAAGCATAAATCTCACAAGACCTATAAAACAAAATACAGTTAAACAAACCTAACAAATAGCATGATGAATAGAATAGTACCTCACATCTCAATACTAACATTGAATGTAAATGGTGTAAATGCTTCACTTAAAAGATACAGAATGGCAAAATGGATAAGAATTCACCAACCAAGTATATGCTGCCTTCAAAAGACTCACCTAACACATAAAACTACATAAACTTAAGGTAAATGAGTGGAAAAGGACATTCCATGCAAATAGACAGTAAAAATGAGCAGGAGTAGCTATTCTTATATCAGACAAAACAAACTTCAAAGCAACAGCAGTTGAAAAAAACAAAGAGGAGGCCACTGCAGTCCAGCCTGGGTGAGAGCGAGACTCCATCTCAAAAAACAAAAAACAAACAAACAAACAAAAAAAAAAACAAAGAGGGACATTATATAATGATAAAAGGCCTTGTGCAACAGGAAAAAATCACAATCCTAAATATATATGCACCTAACACTGGAGCTCCCAAATTTATAAAATAATTACCACTAGACCTAAGAAATGAGACAGCAACACCGTAATAATGGGGGACTTCAATACTCTACTGACAGCACTAGACAGGTTATCAAGACAGAAAGTCAACAAAAAGACAATGGATTTAAATTATATCCTGGAACAAATGGACTTAACAGATACTTACAGAACATTCTACCCAACAACCACAGAATATACATTCTACTCATCAGCACATGGAACTTTTTCCAAGATAGACCATATGATAGGCCACAAAACTCAATAAGTTTAAGAAAACTGAAAATATACGAGATACTCTCTCTGACCACAGTGGAATAAAATTGGAAATCAACTCCAAAAGGAAACTTCAAAACAATGCAAATACATGGAAATTAAATAACCTGCTCCTGAATGATCATTAGGTCAACAATGAAATCAAAAGGGAAATTAAAAAATTCTTTGAACTGAACGATCGTAGTGACACAACCTATCAAAACTTCTGGGATGCAGCAAAGACAGTGCTACAAGGAAAGTTCATAGCCTTAAATGCCTTCATCGAAAAGTCTGAAAGAGCACAAATACACAATCTAAGGTAACACCTCAAGGAACTACAGAAACAAGAAGAAACAAACCAAACCCAAACCCAAACCAGGCAGAAGAAAGGAAATAACCAAGATCAGAGCTGAACTAATGAAATTGAAACAAAAAAAGAGTTAAATGAAAGAAAAAGCTGGTTCTTAGAAAAGATAAATAAAAGTGATAGACCATTAGCAAGATTAACCCAAAAAAAGAAGAGAGAAGGTTCAAATAAGCTCAATTAGAAATGAAATGGGAGATGTTATAACCAACACCACAGAAAAACAAAAGATCATTCAAGGCTACTGTGAACACTTTTATATGAATAAACTAAAAAAACTAGAGGATAATTCCTGGAAAGATACAATCCTCTTGGCTTAAATCATAAAGAATTAGAAAACCTGAACAGACCAGTAACAAACAGTGATATTGAAATGGCAATAAAAAAGGTACCAAAAAAAAAAGTTCAGGACCAGACAGGTTCATAGCTGAATTCTACCAGGCATTTAAAGAAGAACTGGTACCAATCCTATTGACACCATTTCACAAGATAGAGAAAAAGGTAATCCTCTCTAAATCATTCTATGAAGCCAGTATCACCCTAATACCAAAACCAGGGAAGGACATAACCAAAAAAGAAAACTACAGGCCAATATTTCTGAGGAACATAAATCCAAAATTCCGTAACAAATTACTAGCTAACCAAATCCAACAGCATATCAAAAAGATGATTCACCATGCTCAAGTGGGTTTTATAACAGGGATGCAGGGATGGTTTAACATACACAAGTCAATAAATGTGATATACCACGTAAACAGAATTAAAAACAAAAATCACATGAGCATCTCAATAGATGCAGAAAAAGCATTTGACAAAATCCAACATCACTTTATGATTAAAACCCTCAGCAAAATCAGCACACAAGAGACATACCTCAATGTAATAAAAGCCATCTACGACAAACCTACAGCCAAAATAATTCTGAATGGAGAAAAGTTGAAAGCATTCCTTCTGAGAACTGGAACAAGACAAGGATGCCCACTCTTACCACTTCTATTCAACATAGTACTGGAAGTCCTAGCCAGAGCAATCAGACAAGAAAAAGAAATAAAGGGCATCCAAATAACTAAAGAGGAAGTCAAACTGTCAATGTTTGCTGATGATATGATTGTATACCTAGAAAACTCTAAAGATTCCTGCAAAAACTCCTAGAACTGGAAATTAATTCAGTGAAGGTTTAGGATACAACATTAATGTACACAAATCAGTAGCTCTGCTGTACAACAACAGTGACCAAGCTAAGAAACCAACCAAGAACTCATCCGCTTTTACAATAGCTTCAAAAAAACTAAAATACTTGGGAATATACCTAACAAATGATGTGATAAACATCTACAAGGAAAACTACAAAACATTGCTGAAAGAAATCATAGATGACTCCAATAAATGGAAACACATCCCATACTCATGGATGCAGGGTCGATATTGTGAAAACTACCATACTGCCAAAAACAATCTACAAATTCAATGCAATTCCCATCAAAATACCACCATCATTCTTCACAGGATTAGAAAAATAATTATAAAATTTATATTGAACCTAAAAAGAACCCACATAACCAGAGCAAGACTAAGAAAAACAAACAAACAAACAAAATCCCACAAATCTGGAGGCATCACATTACCTGATTTCAAACAATACTATAAGCCCATAATAACAAAAATAACATGGCACTGGTATAAAAATAGGCACATAGACCAATTGAACAGAATTGAGGACCCAGAAAGGAACCCAAATACTTACAGCCAACTGTTCTTCAACAAAGCAAACAAATATATAAAGTGGGGGAAGGACACCCTATTTAACAAATGGTGCTGGAATAATTGGCTGGCCAAGTGTAGGACAATGAAACTGCATCCTCATCTCTCACCTTATACAAAAATAAACTCAAGATGGATCAAGGATTTAAATCTAAGACCTGAAACTATAAAAATTCTGGAAGATAACATCAAAAAACCCTTCTAGACATTGGCATAGGCAAAGACTTCATGACCAAGAACCCAAAACACATGCAAAATAATAATAATTAATAAATAGATGGGACTTAATTAAACTAAAGCACTTTTGCACAGCAAAAGGAACAGCAGAGAGAGTAAACAGACAACCCACAGAGTGGGAGAAAATCTTCACAATCTACACATCTGACAAAGGACTAATATCTCAGAATCTACAGCGAACTCAAACAAATTAGCAAGAAATAAAACAAACAATCTCATCAAAAAGTGGGTTAAGGACATGAACAGACAATTCTCAAAAGAAGATATACAAAATGCCAACAAACATTAAAAAATGCTCAACATCACTAATGATCAGGGAAATGCAAATCAAAGCCACAATGCAATATCACCTTACTCCCGCAAGAATGGCTATAATCAAAAAATAATGGATGTTGCCATGGATGTGGTGAAAAGGTAACATTTCTACACTTCTGCTGGGAATGTAAACTAGCACAACCACTATGGAAAGCAGTGTGGAGATTCCTTAAAGAACTAAAAGTAGAACTACCATTTGATCCAGGAATCCCACTACTGGGTATCTACTCAGAGGAAAAGAAGTCATTATTCGAAAAAGATACTTGCACACACGTGTTTATAGCAGCACAATTTGCAATTGCAAAAATATGGAACCAGCTCAAATGCCTATCACTCAACGAGTGGATAAAGAGACTGTGGTATATATGTATACCATGGAATACTACTCAGCCATAAAAAGGAATGAATTAATGGCATTCGCAGCAACCTGCATGGGATTGCAGACTATTATTCTAAGTGAAGTAACTCAGGAATGGAAAGCCAAACATCATATGTTCTCACTCATAAGTGGGAGCTAAGCTGTGAGGATGTAAAGGCATAAGAATGATACAATGAACTTTGAGAACTGGGAGGCGGGGGAAGGGTGGGAAGGGGGTGAGAGATAGAAGGCTACAAATTGGGTTCAGTGTATATTGCTTGGTTGATGGGTGCACCAAAATCTCACAAATCACTGCTAAAGAACTTACTCATGTAACCAAATACCACCTGTTACCCAAAAGTTTCTGGAAAGGGTATTTAAAAAGAAAATTTTTAAAAAGAGAGAAAAGACCAAAGAAACAAAACAGTAGCAACTCACTCTAATTACTGTGGAAACAAACTGGAAATGGGGCTAGAGAAAAGAGGAAGAAGATCCGTGTAGCACCAGCTACTTGGGAGGCTAACATGCAGGGATCACCTGGGCGAGACCGGGAATTTATTTCAATGTTTATTATTTGAAGTGTGTCATTCATTATTTAGAAGTTTGATGATGTTTTTATGTCCAGAAGTATGCCAAAGGAAACTAATTCCTCTTTATATCAATTAGCCTGTGGTGGAATTGGTTTCCTTATGCTTAGAGTCAGAGTATCTAAGAACCTAGCGACCATTTTTAGTGAGGACTTAATGTACCCCTAAATTAGGTTTTCAGTTTGTTCACATCCTAAACTAAGCTGCAATCAGGTAGGGATTCAAGGAACAGAGGCAGCCTCAGATCAAATTTAGTTTAACAATAGATAAGATATTATAAGTTTCTATGTTTGTTATAGAAAAAATAAGTGGAAAAGAAGGTTTTTGAACACATGCCCTTAATAACAAGTATCTTATTTGGTTAAATGTAAACATAGTTTTTAACATTTGAAGAAAAACTATTATATAATTTTAAAATTGTACATAGTAAGGAAAATAGGCCCATAACTAATAATGAAAACAGGCTATTCCAAGAATGAAATGGCCCACAAAGAGGGGCAGGTGAGGGTTAAGAAGTAAAGGGTTAAGAAAACAGGGTGGGCCGGGCGCAATGATTCATGCCTGTAATCCCAGCACTTCAGGACGCTGAGGTGGGAGGATCACCTGAGGTCAGGAGTTCAACACCAGCCTGGCCAATGGGGTGAAAGCCCGTTTCTACTAAAGGTACAAAAATTATCTGGACGTGGTGGTGCACACCTGTAATCCCAGCTAAAGGGAGGCTGAAGCAGAATTGCTTGAATCTGGGAGGTGGAGGTTGCAGTGAGCAGAGATCACACCACTGCACTCAAGCTGGGCAACAGAGCGAGACTCTGCCTCAAAAAAAAAGAAAAAATAATAGGGGGTATAATAGATGGAGGGGGGAGAGAGTAGGGAGATGAAGGTAAAACTAGGGATGCCAGAGGCAAGAATAGAATTATATTTTAGAACAGGGAGTCCCCAGCAAACTCATTTGTAAAATGAGAGTTGATTGAAGTAAATCAACTCTAAGATTCTATCTTATACTAAAGCTCCTTTATTTTGTTAAGGTGTAAATTGACAGTAAAAAGAAAATGCAAAAGGATTTAGGAAAAGATTGGCTCAGGCTGGGCTGGAGTCATTGAATTAGACGTCAGTGAGCAATGTAGCACTCGAAATCCTGACCCTTCCTCTTCAGAAATGCATGGCAATCAGCTCTTCCCACTGATTAAAATTTTGGCTCTTAGAGGAAAATTTTGTATGAATAGTTAGGCTGTGATGTTCTTGTGGATATTAAGTTACATATCACACTTGAGTTTTCAAAAAAAAAAGAGCTTCTGCACAGCAAAAACAAAAACAAAACAAAACAAAACAAAAACTATCAATAAACAGAAAACCTGCAGAATGGGAGAAAATATTTGCAAACTATGCAACTGAAAAAGGTCTAATATCCAGTATCTATAAGGAACTTAAACAAGTCACAAGAGAAAAATAACCCCATTTAAAAATGAGCAAATATGAACAAACGCATTTCCAAAGAAGACATACATGTGGCCAACAAGCATACAAAAAAAAAGGTCGACATTATTGATCATTAGAGAAATGCAAATTGAAACCACAATGAGATATCATCTCATACTAGTCAGAATTAAAAACTCAAAAAATAACAGATGCTCATGAGGATGCAGGGAAAAGGGAACACTTATACACCTTTGGTCAGAGTGTAAATTAGTTCAACCACTGGGAAAAGTAGTATGGTGATTCTTCAGATAACTAAAAGTAGAGCTACCATTTGACCCAGCAATCCCATTACTGGGCATATACCCAGAGAAATATAAATTATTCTACATAAAGACACATATACGTGAACATTCACTGTAGCACTGTTCACAATAGCAAAGACATGGAATCAACCTAAATGACCATCAATGACACATTGGATAAATAAAATGTGGTACAAACACACCTTGGAATACTATGCAGCCATAAAAAAGAATAAGATCATGTCTTTTGAGGGAACCTGGATAGAGCTGGAGACTATTATCCTTAGCAAACTAACATAGGAACAGAAAACCAAGTACCACATGTTCTCACTTATAAGTGGGAGCTAAATAATGAGAACTTATGATCACAAAAGAAGGAAAAAACAGACACTGGGTCTGCTTAAGGGTGGAGTGTAGAGGAAGAGAGGAGGAGGGAGAGGAGCAGAAAAGATAACTATTGGGTACTGGGCTTAATATGTGGCTGATAAAATAATCTGTACAACAAACCCCCATGACACGAGTTTACCTACGTAACAAACCTTCATATGTACCCCTAAACCAAAAATAAATGTTAAAAAAAGAAAGTATTTAAGAATTCATGAAAACAAAAAATCAACATACCAAAACTCATGGGATAGCAAAGGTAATGCTAAGGGTGAAACATATAGCTATAAATATATACATTTAAAAACAAGATAAACCTCAGAAGAACAATCTAACTTACAAATTAAGGAGCTAATAAAGAAGAAATAACTAAATCCAAAGCCAGCAGAAAGAAGGAAATAATAAAGATTAGAGAGAGATAAATGAAATAGAGACTAGAAAAACAATTGTGAATATCAGTGAAACAAAAAGCCACTTTTTCAAAAAGATCAACAAAGTTGAAAAATCTTTAGCTGGATTGACTAAGAAAAAAAGGAGAAGACTAAAAGAAATATAATCAGAAATGACATAAGAAGGGACATTACACTTGATACCACAGGAATTCAAAGGATAGTAAGAAAATACCATGAATAATTATATGTCTAAATTTGGATAACTTACATTAAATGGACAAGTTTCTAGAAACACACAACCTACTAAGACTAAATCAAGAAGAAATATAAAATCCAAATTGACCTATTTACTAAGGAGATTGAATCAATAATAAATTTTCCAACAAAAGGAAAATCCTGGACCTGATGGCTTCACTGGTGAATTCTACCACACATTTAAAGAAGAACTAACACCAATTCTTCTCAAAATTTTCCAAAAATTTGAAGATAAAATACGTTCTAACTCATTCTATAAGGCTAGCATTTCCCTGAAAACAAAGCCAGACAAAAACACTAAAAGAAAATAAAACTACAAGCCAATATCCCTTATAAACATTATGACAAAAACCCTCCACAAAATGCTAGCAAACTCAATTCAGCAGCCTATGCAAAGGATTACATACGACGACCAGATGGGATTTACTTCTGGAATACAACTATGATTCAACATATGAAAACTGATCCATGTAATAAACCACATTAGTGAAATGAAGGAAAAACAAAAAGCTGTAGGACGATTACTACAAAGCTATAGTCATCGAAACCCCCACCCAAATACCCAGTGATATTGACATCAACTCCACAGCACTATAGAAAATATAGTGGGTGTAAGAACTAGAAGCATGAACTTGAGAAGCAGACAGCCTGAGTCCAACCCCTTTTGCTGGACACATTAATGGAAAAACTGTCAAAAGAGTGTGGTACCAACAAACATATAGGCCCATGGAATAGAACAGAGAAAATAGGACCAGAAATATGTCCTCACATATATGTGTTTTAGTTGACAAAATACCATAGACTGGGTGGCTTATAAACAACAGAAATTATTTTTCATACTTCTGGAGGCTGGGAAGTCCAAGATCAAGTTCTCATCATCAGATTTGGTATCTGGTGAGGGCTTTCTACCTGGTTCAGAGATGGCCATCTTTTTGCTACATCCTCACATAGTGGAAGAGACAAGGGATCTCTTTTATAAAAGCATTAATCCCATCCATGAAGGCTCTAGCCTCATGACCTAATCACTTCCCAAAGGCTCATCTCCTAATGCTATCACCTTGGGGTTAGGGTTTCAACATATGAATTTTGGGAGGACATAAAACATTCAGTCTAATGCATATGGTCAATTGATATTTTACAAGGATGCCAAGACCATTCAAATGGGGAAAGGACATTCTTTTCAACAAATTATACTGGGAAAACTGGATACCTACATGCAAAAGAATGAAGTTGGATCTTACCTAACTCCCCAAAAAATAATTAACTCAAAATGGATCAAAGACCTAAACATAAGACCTAAAACTATAAAACTCTTAAAAGAAAACATAAAGCAAAAGCTATGATTTGGCAATGATTTCTTGACTATGATACCAAAGGCATAGACAATAAAATTAAAAAAAGACAAACTGGACTTTATGAAACTTTTTTAAATGTTGTGCATCAAAAGACACTATTAACAGAGTAAAAAGGCAAACCACAAAACAGGCAGAAATGTTTGCAAATTAGATATCTGATAAGGGACTAATACCTAGAATATAGACAGAACTCTTTCTTTTTTTTTTCCAGATGGAGTCTCGTTCTGTCGCCCAGGCTGGACTGCAGTGGCGCAATCTCGGCTCACTGCAAGCTCCGCCTCCCGGGTTCACGCCATTCTCCTGCCTCAGCCTCCCCAGTAGCTGGGACTAGAGGCGCCCACCACCACGCCCAGCTAATTTTTTTGTATTTTCAGTAGAGACAGGGTTTCACTGTGTTAGCCAGGATGGTCTCCATCTTCTGACCTCATGATCCACCCGCCTTGGCCTCCCAAAGTGCTGGGATTACAGGCGTGAGCCACTGCGCCCGGTCGACAGAGCTCTTAAAACTCAACAAAAAAAAAACAAACAACCTGTCTCACAAATGGGCAAAGAACTTGAAGCGGCATTTTTCCAAAGAATATAAGCAAGTGGTCAATAGAGTGAAAAAATGCCCAACCTCACTAATCATTACAGAAATGCAAATCGAAAACAGATGAGATACCATCTCATATACATTAGGATGGCTACTATAAAAAAATCACAATGAAACAAAAGTAACAAGTGTTGACAAGAATGCAGAAAAATTAGAACTCCCGTGCACTGTTAGTGGGAATGTAAAAGAGCATAGCCACTGTGGAAAACAGTATAGCAGTTCCTCAAAAAATTAAAAATAGAATTAGCATATGATCCAGCAATTCCACTTTTTAATATAAAATCAAAAGAATTGAAAGCAAGGTCTCAAAAAGATACTTGTACACCCATGTTCATAGCAGCATTATTCACAACTGCTAAAACATGTAAGCAATCCAAGTGTCCACTGACAAATGAATGGATAAGCAAAATGTCGTACATACATACAATGCATCCCATTCAGCCTTAAAAAGGAAGGAAATTCTGGTATGAATGAATCTGATGGACATTATGCTAGACGAAATAAGCCAGTCACGAAAAGATGAATACTGTATGATTCCAGTTGCATGAGATACCTAGAGTCATCACAATCAAACACAGAAAGTAGAATAGTGGTTGCTGTCAGAAGTGGGTAATTGGAAGTTATTAATGGTCACAGAGTTTTAGTTTTATAAGATGAAAAGAGTTCTGGAGATAAATGGTGGTGACGGTTGCACAATAATAAGAATGTACTTAATACCACAGAACTGTACCCTTAAAATGCTTAAGATGGCAAATTTTATGTTATGTGTATTTGCTACAGAAGAATTAAAATTGAAAAATATAAATATGACTAAAATTAATAAAGCAAGTTAGAATTTCCATGAGGCATTAAGAAAAAAATTAGATGATTATAGCAGCAAGATTGCCCAGGTAAATAATACGAAAAGGTAAGTCAGTGTATCAGGAAAGACAGAAGGGACTTTGCCTTGCATACAACATACTATGTTAATGTAATATTTGCAGCAACAGCTATGTTCCAGAAGACTTTCTAAAGTTCTGGAGTCTGGGGCAACAAAACAGTGAAGAACTGGTGCACCAACTTGGTATAGATGAAATCCAACAATTTTACAAACATTTACTAGTCAGATAATATAAACCTGGCACTATTCTAGGACCCCCCCCCATATCTGCAAAGTATGGTAAAAATTGTTAATTCAAAGAAAAATTAAAATCTGTAATCACCAACCAAACAAATAAGAGTCGCGTCTAATTGATACGATACTCTTCAAAAATAGTAACCAGTGAAAGAAACAAAATGCTGGAGTGAAGCAGAGAGGGTCATTACTGCCTGGCTCCACAGAGCCCCTTTCCTTCAAACCCCTCCATAACCCTCCAGAGGTTTTATTTTGAGTTGACAAAATTCTGAGAATTATCAATGATGTGACACATAGAGAAAAGAAAACTCAGTAGGCAGATCATTATTTTCTTCCTAAATGCAATGGAGACAAGTGACGCCAGGGAAGAGCACTCTAGAGCTGACTCTTTAAGAATGGAAGGAGGCTCCCAGGCCACCCAGAGATCAAATTATAATGGGGTCTCCTGCAGGAGAAGTATAGACTCTCCAACCAGGGAATTAACATGGAACAAGGCATTGCACAAAAATCTCAGAGGAAAGAGCAGAGACAAGTTATTCAGACTGCAGGGCATCTTGGTCAAGTCCTGTGCTCCCTCTGTCACTCCCTCAGGCTAAGAAAGTAAAGCTGAACACAAAATTCTTAGCCCTCAGACGAGGGGAAATAAATCTCAGATATTGTTGGAACACAAGTAGTCACTCCCACTCTGTCTGCCCAGAGCCATGCAAACAACATCAAGATGGAGAAAATGGCCCAGAGACTATGCAAATATATTAGATACTGTATTAGTCAGAGTTTTCCAGAGAAACAGAACCAACAGGATGTGTGTGGAGAAAGAGGGATTGATTTTAAGAAACTGGCTCACAAATTGTGGAGGCTGGCAAATCTAAAATGCACACAGCTGTCTGGCAGGCTGAAAATTCCAGCAAGAAGTTGATGTCTTCAGGTCTTAAGTCCCAAGGCAGTCTGGAAACAGAATTCCTTCATCCTCAAGGGACCTCAGTCTTTTTCTCTTAAGACCCTCAACTGATTGGATGAAGCCCACCCACATCATGGAAGGTAATGACTTTCCGCAAAGTCTACTGATTGAAATATTAATAACATCTAAAAAAAAACTTCACAAGAACATGTAGATGTATATAATCAAATAATTCAGCATCATAGCCTAATCAAAGTGACATAAAAAATTAAGTATCACACACAAACATGAGGGTGCACATACACATATCCATCTAGAATAATAATCTAGAAGAAGAATAATAGTTAACATTCAATGCATGTGCTAGGTACTGTTTTTTGTTTGTTTGTTTGTCTGTTTGTTTGTTTTTGAGATGAAGTTTTGCTTTTGTTGCCCAGGCTGGAGTGCAATGGCTTAATCTCGGCTCACTGCAACCTCTGTCTCCTGGGTTCAAGCGATTTTCCTGCCTCAGCCTCCTGAGTAGCTGGGATTGCAGGTGCCCACCACCATGCCCAGCTAATTTTTGTATATTTCATAGAGACAGGGTTTCACTGAGTTGACCAAGCTGGTCTTGAACTTCTGACCTCGGGTGATCCACCTGCCTCGGCCTCCCAAAGTGTGGGGATTACAGGTGTGAGCCACCGCGCCTGGCCCTTAGGTACTGTTCTTTACGTTTCACATGTATTTACTCATTTAATCCCCATAGCAAAACTTATGAGGTAGATAATGTTTATTTTTGTATTTAACAGACTAGAAAACTGAGGCAGAGAGTGCTTGAGTAACTTATGCAAGACTACATGCTAGCAAATGGCTAAGCCGGTAAAGATTGGCAGAGTTTGCTCAAAACTCATGCATTTTACCACTGAACTAGAAGAAAATGCAACTCAGGAAATAGAATGCAATTCCCCCGCTTCACTCTAAGAAGGCCTTAAGAACATTAGTTCAATAAAATAAGAGCATACTAATAGAATAATTTAAAAATTAAATGAGATGATAAAGGAAATGACCAGTCTAGAGAACAAATTTTGGACTATGCAACACGATTATGGAAATGATAACTAAATTAGAAAATGCAAGGCACAGAATAGACAAAAGTCGTTGCTGGCAGAAAAGAACTGAGATAATCTGAATGAATGCAGATAAAAAAGACAAAGAATTAAAGCAAATTTGGGAGAATATTATAGACATGAAATATAATATATATTATAGTATTATATATATGAGAATCCAAAGAAAATTTTCATAATATTATTGAAGTAAAAATTCCACTTCAAGATATATTCAAAGACATTATACAATAGAATTTCTCTAAAATGAAGGATAATAATTTAATATATTAAAGAGCAAGTCCCTACTTATACAAAACAAAAAAAGTTCATGATACTCCAAGAAAATTAGAGGTAGTATGCTCAATAATATTTCTTAGCTGAACTATTGAATGTCAAGGATAAAGAAAAAATTCTTCAGATATTGAAACAGAAAAGCAGGGAAAAACTGTATCACTTCAGAATTATCAATAACACTCAATTCCACAAGACAATAAAGCAATGTCCATAAAGTTCTGTGAAAATTTAATCTAAAAATATTATAATTAATCAAGATGTCATTTGAGCATAGAAACCACTAACAGACATTCACTAGCATGAAAGAACTCAGGAAATGCAATACACATTATTTCTTCTTGGAGAAGAAAAATTTTCTTGACAATGACATCCAGTCAAATAAAAGATGATTAAAAATAAATTTAAGAATGGCAAAGTGAGATTAAAAGAACTGGTAATGAACAAGGAATGTATTTAAACATACAGTGAAAGTAGACAACTAATAAAAGTATGGTAGCAATACTGAATGTGAATGTTATAAACTTGAACAATGTAAACTAATTATGTAACTGCAAAAATTGGGAAATAGGGGAAAGGGAAAGTGGGAAGAAATTTAAGAGTGCTAACATCCTCATCTTTCAAAATTAGGGAATTGATATTATATAAATATATATTTTTAATGTTACAAATTAATACTAGCCTCTACATGTTTATCTCTAAACCTTGCTTTTTTTAACTTTATTTAGGTTTGAGAGTACATGTGGAGGTTTGTTACATAGGTAAACACGTGTCACGGTGGTTTGTTGTACCTATTATTTCATCACCCACATATTAAGCCCTGTACCCAGTAGTTTTCTGCTCCTCTCCCTCCTCCCACCCTCCCCCCTCAAGCAGACACCAGTGTCTGTTATTTCCTTCTTTGTGTTCATAAGTTTGTATCATTTAGCTCCCTCTTATAAATGAGAATCTGTGGTATTTGGTTTTCTGTTCCTGCATTAGTTTGCTAAGGATAATGACCTCCAGCTCCATCCAGATTCCCACAAAAGACATGATCTTGTTCTTTTCTATGGCTACATAGTATTCCATGGTGTGTATGTACTACATTTTCTTTATCCGATCTGTCATTGATGTCCATTTAGGTTGATTGCATATCTTTGCTATTGTCAACAGTGCTGCAATGAACCTCTTGGCATATACCCAAATGAATAAACCCTGCTTTTTTAGCACTAGTCAGTTCTTTTATGAAAAAAAATCCTGTGGTGAACAAACATTCTTCACTTTAGTTTTGTTTTTCTTCTACTGATATCAAATAAAATATAAATAACTATCTTTTGTTAAAAATAGTTACTAGGGTCTTATCCTATTTTCATAACTTTTATTTGTCTATTGCTCTATCCTTCTAATTGTATAAAATGCATACAAAGTACAATGCATACATTGTACGAAATGCATAAAATATTTTTATAAAAACAATCAGGTGACTTTTTCCCTTTAAAAATTGTAAGCAGGCTGGGCGTGGTGGCTCACATCTGTAATCCCAGCATTTTGGGAGGCCAAGGGGGGCGGATCACTTGAAGTCAGGAGTTCTAGACCAGCCTGGCCAACATGGTGAAGCCCCATCTCTACTAAAAATACAAAAATTTGCCAGGCATGTTGGTGGATGCCTGTAATCCCAGCTACTCGGGAGGCTGAGGAGAATTGCTTGAACCCTGGAGGCACAGATTGCAGTGAGCTGAGATCATGCCACTGCACTCCAACCTGAAAGACAGAGCAAGACTCTGTCTCAAAAAACAATAATAATTATACATAAATAAGTAAATATTATAAGCAGTATACCAAGATGTTAACAGTGGTTCCTTTTGAGTGATGAGAAAATGGACAATAGTAATTTTTTTTTTACTTTTGTCCGGGTTTTTAATTTATGTTGCAAATTTAATTTGCAACATAAAAAATGAGGTATTAATGAATTACTTGTTCACCAGTCTACTAATCATGAATTTAGCATGCATTAAACATATGTACTTTATTAATATGTATTTTTTCATAAACTTATCCTAGGAAATAAAACAGGTAATAAAGAATGCAAATATCTCAACCTCTACAATGTTCAAAGGGAAAGTGTGCAAAACGTGCATGTCTTAGTAGGATCCCTAAGTTAGCAATTAATGAATGATGTGGGGAATGTGGGAAATGTATTCTTGGATATACCTTTTATCTCATTATTGTTTACTACTCAATTCTGTGAAATAACCTCTATTTTATGTACTATGGCACATTTACAACATACAGCATCTGAATAAAATTATACAACTGGTTATACAGAACTAGCAGTTTAGATATTATAAAGTAGCTGTCTTGTTACCTCATAAACCATAAACCACATTAGTATCTGAGAAATTAAAAAAATTTCTAAAATGTCCCACTTCAGGTATAGAATTTTACAAGATTTAGGGGGAAATTATCACATCGTTTCTTATATTAAAATAACAACAATAGCAATATAAGCCTAAACCAAAAACCTAAAAAGAAATGGTTACTAGACATAAGAGAGCAGAGAGATAGGGACTGAAGGTACACTTCTTTCAATACATAATGTTTTTTGTTTGTTTGTTTGTTTTTGAGACAGATTCTAGCTCTGTTGCCCAGGCTGAGTGCAGTGGCATCTTGGCTCGCTGCAAACTCCACCTCTCGCGTTCAAGCAATTAACCTGCCTCAGCCTCCCAAGTAGCTGGGATTACAGGCGCCCGCCATCACGCCCAGCTAATTTTTGTATTTTTAGTAGACACGGGGTTTCACTGTATTGGCCAGGCTGGTCTCAAACTCATCACCTTGTGATCCACCCACCCCGGCCTCCCAAAGTGCTGGGATTACAAGCGTGAGCCATCACGCCCGGCCACATAATGTTTTTAATATTTGAGTTTAGAACCATGTATTTTACATAATTCTAAACTTACTTTTAAAAAATGATCCCTATAACTTGAGCAGAATGAGAAAATGAATCTACCTGTGTAAGAGTTGGTAGCATAACCATACAAAGAACTTGTAAAGAGACTTTATAACACAGTAATATGACCGAACATACCTGGTGTGATATGCTCTAAAGATTAAAAAAGAACAAAACTGCAAACAAAAACTCTTAATCTGTTTCCAGTAATGATATTGTTGATCATATTGGCACCATGTATTGGGATAAAGCTAATGAATAATCATGTTGATGTCATTTGGAGTATGGAAAAAGAGATGCAAAAGGTTAATTAAAAACTCTATGAGATCCTGATTTGAAAAGAAAGTCGGTATACATTCATGATTATAGATACACACACACACACACACACAGAGAGACACACACACACACATTGTTCTCAGCTCTGTCTGCTGAAAAGGTCTTGAAGCAATGAAGAACTCACTAACAACGTGTAAAAATAAAGCCCAGTTTATGATCTCTAATGGTCATTTTCAATTCTAAAATTAGGGCCCCTTAAAGGCAGATTTCGGGTCAGAAGCAAAACGTATATAACTTTGACCCGAAACATTTTGTCATACCAAAAACAAGAAAAAGCCATCAAAGCCTATTGGCATAAAGTCTCAGGAGTCACTTTGAAGAGTCACCTGCAGGCCAAGAATAGGTCTGAACTTCAATTAGAAGAATGCCTGCCATGGATTGAAATATAGTTGGCCCCCTGTATCCATGGGTTCTGCATCTATAGATTTAACCAAACATAGGTCATAAATATTTAGAAAAAAATGCATCCGTGCTAAACACATACAGACTTTTTCCCTTTGTGTTATTCCCCACATAATACAGTATAACAACTATTTACACTGCCTTTATATTATATTAAGTATCATAAGTAATCTAGAGATTATTTAAAATATATGAGACGATGTGCATAGGTTATATTCAAATACCACACCATTTTGCATCAGGGACTTGAGCATCCACAGGTTTTGATACCTACAGGAGGTCCTACAGCCAATCCCCTATGCATACTGAGTGATGACTGTATGTCAAATGTGTTTAAATCCAGGAAGTCATAATAATCCTAATTTTTTAAAGTGGGTCTTATTAAAAGGTGTTAATTTACCAATTCATTATTTTCAAAATTGGTAGAGAGACATAATCAAGCATTTATCCCATCTTTCCTATATTAATAATGCTTTAGAATAACTAGTTGCTGAGAAACATGAAAGAAACAAGTCTGCCTACCAGACAAATAATGAATGATAAAATCAACATAGCACTGTTTTGAAAATACTAATGAATTAATAGATCTAGAAAATGATAGTCAATGGCTGCTAACAACTCAAAAGGAGAAACAACCACATATCATGTGCTTCCTACCAGAACAACACAACACATGTGAAGTAGTCTCATCAAAAAAAAAAAAAAAGAAAAAGAAAAGGAAAAAGAAAAAAATGTACAGAGGATCAAACTTCTAGATACAACTACCAATTAACAGGAAATAATCGAAACAGAGAAACAAGTTAAAAGGCAATCAGCAAAGTCCAGAATGCGGTACACTCTCCTGACCTGTCTTATCAATAAACTACAATAGAGAGAGAAAGAGAGAGCGAATTACAGATTCAGGGAGATTTAAGAAACATGCAGTAGAAGGAATGTTCGTGTCCCTCCAAAATGCATGTGTTGAAATCGTAACCCCTAAGGTTATGGTATTAGGAAGTGGGGTCTTTGGAAGATAATTAGATCATGATGGTGCAGCTCTTATGAATGAGATCAGTGCCCCGATAAAAGGGACTTTGAAGAGCTCTCTCATTCTTTCCTGCCATGTGAGGATATAACAAGGAGACAATATGACAGTCTGTAACCTGGAAGAGGGCCTTAAACACAACCAGACCATGCTGACACCACGATCTCAGACTTCCAACCTTCGAAACTGTGAGAAATAAATTTCTGTTGTTTACGTCACCCAGACCATGGTACTTTCTTACAGCAGCCTGAACTAACAAAACCAATTGTAATGTATGGACTTCATTATAATTCTGATTTCAAGTAGTAAACTGTGTGGGCCGGAATTAGGAAGCAATGAGAAATATTTGAATGCTAACTGGATATTTAATGTAAGGAATTATTTTATGTTGTTTTAGGTGGGATAATGGCGTGGATATGTTTTTATTTTTTTTAATTCCTACCTTTATACAGACATGCTGAAATATTTACAGTTGAAATGATTAACTGTCTGGGATTTTTTTCAAAATAATCTCAGTGCAGAGGAAACTGGAAGGGTTGTAGATGAAACTTGGAAGTGGATGTTTCTCTCTACTTTTGGATATGCTTATAATTTTCCATATAAAAGTTCTGAAAACGGAAAATAAAATGCTCACATTGTGAGGCTAAGGCCAAAAGAAATCAGAGATGCATGAGAATTTCCAAATTCAGGATTATTTAAGAACAACATAGAGAAAAAAATACTTCTGGTTTGAGTTGCAAAAATTTATTTCTTTTATGCAATATACTAAAAAATCATAATTAATTGAAAAATATAATACTTCATATGTAAAGGGGAGAAAACTACTCCACCAAAGATGTCACATCTTTTAATTCATTTGGAGATCAAAGAAATGTGTCTGCCAGGCAACCAAGGGCTCATGGAAAGGTGTGGTTTCTGTACAAATGCTATTTGTCTAATATTTTGTGCTGTTAATGACTGTCCCATTAGCATCTTCACTACACTTACTTTCATAGAAAGGAGAAACATGATTTATAGAGCCCTTTAGTGACAAGGGTGAGGATCCTACACACTATGTTGCTGGTTTCCTAGTCTTCAGCAAGAAAGTGTAGGAGAGAAGCAAAAAACGTCCTGTTCAACCCCTGCTCCTGGATGTGGCAAGGAAGAGGAGTTACCCGGCTTGAAACAAAAGAAATCCTAAGTCTGACACACAATGTCATGTTTAAATTCCCCTTTCTCCAAAATGTAAAATAAATCTGCTTCCATCTTCTAAAATACTATGGGACTAAACATCCTTTTGTTATGCTAAGGAAAAGCCAGTATTCGCGTTGATTTAGAAGAGGGATGTTCTGGTTATAGAACGATGCTGTGTCTCAGAAACACTTAAATACTATTAAGCTAGAAATAGAAGGGAAAATAATGCTTCCCCGCATCTCCCCTCAAGTGTAGTCCTCTTTTTTTAGCCTGATTTCCGACGAAATGTCTGAATGCCTACAGTTATTTGGCCATCCTGAAAAGTGCAACTTATCCTGACGTCTCGAGGGACGGAAAAGTTACCGAAGTCCAAGGAATGAGTCACTTTGCTCAAATTTGATGAGTAATATCAGGTGTCATGAAACCCAGTTTCGAAGGAGAGGGGAGGGGGCGTCAGATCTGCAGACGGAAGCAGGCCGCTCCGGATTGGATGGCGAGACCTCGATTTTCCTAAAATTGCGTCATTTAGAACCCAATTGGGTCCAGATGTTATGGGCATCGACGAGTTACCGTCTCGGAAACTCTCAATCACGCAAGCGAAAGGAGAGGAGGCGGCTAATTAAATATTGAGCAGAAAGTCGCGTGGGGAGAATGTCACGTGGGTCTGGAGGCTCAAGGAGGCTGGGATAAATACCGCAAGGCACTGAGCAGGCGAAAGAGCGCGCTCGGACCTCCTTCCCGGCGGCAGCTACCGAGAGTGCGGAGCGACCAGCGTGCGCTCGGAGGAACCAGAGAAACTCAGCACCCCGCGGGACTGTCCGTCGCAGTAAGTGCCCGCGCGGTGCTGGCCGCGGCTGCCCGGGTCACCCCGCCCCGCATCTGTCCGAGGTGGCCGCGCTGGGGGCGCCGCTGCGGCGAGGGACAGTGGGGAGACTGGCTTCCCAAACGCCAACGCCCCTCTTTGTCTTCCACCTGCAGAGTTTCCTGGTTTGAAGGTGTGGGTTGGTGGGTTAGGGGGCTGGGGGAGTTGGGATTCAGGGAGAAGAGGGTTGGAGAATCTTTGGGACGCGATTCTCTCGCCTAACCGGTACAGGTGAGACTTCAGTCCTTATGTTTTTGATCTTGGTTCATCCGTTGTGGGGCAGAAAATTCTGTTGCTTTAACTCTTGGATAACCACCCCTAATAGATACATTATTTCTCTCTTTGGTGTCTTCTCCTCCTACCCCTTCCCAGAAATCCAACATGAAAATCCTCGTGGCCTTGGCAGTCTTTTTTCTTGTCTCCACTCAGCTGTTTGCAGAAGAAATAGGAGCCAATGATGATCTGAATTACTGGTCCGACTGGTACGACAGCGACCAGATCAAGGTGAGGCCCCTTCCCAGGACGGCCCGCACCCTTCTTCCTGGGCTCGGGAGCTGTCACCTTCCCACGCAACAGCACCCTAGTTAACGTGGCACGCACCGCCACCACGGAAAGAGGCAGCGGTTGCGTGCGAGAGGATGGAAAGGGGCACTATTTCCCGGGTTCCCCACGGGATTTTGTGCCCACGATTCAAGTTTCTTCCCGAGGGCTGCACCGTCCGGCCCAGGAACTCCCTGCAGTAGGGATGCCCTCCCGGATGAGCCCGAGATCCTCACAAGGCGGGAAATCTCGTAAGATTTCATCCCCCAGGACCTGGGATTTCGGGGGCTCCGGTCCAGCTGCACTGCCCTAGCGTCTGGGCACGGGCAGAGGAGGGCGCCTGGGTCGCGGGCAGCAGCGGGCACACGCGCGAGCTGCAGGGGGATTGGAGGGCCGGAGGCTGGAGGGAAGTTAATTTCCTGCCTTCACGTTTGTTTTGCGGACCTGAGGATGTAGCTTGAAGTCTCCCTTTAGAAACTCGTAGGCTACAGGCGCTGGGGAGCGCGCCTCGGAAAAACGGTGAAAGTCGTCTGTAAAGCGTTGTCACCCTTCCCCACCGGAGCCCCAGCCCCAGATCCCACACACCTGTGTGCATTTAGGGCGGTGAGGACTCTACAAAGCCGGCACCGAGACAAGACAAAGTCAGGTGGCGGCGCAGCAGATGAGGGAAGGTCCCCGGGCTGGGAGGAAAGAGCGGAAAGCGCTCGAAGCTTGAAGACGCCGAGCCAGCTGCTAACTCGCCCTGGCAGGCTTGCGGGGGGCGGGACGCGAGTTCGGCGGGGAGGGGCGCAGAGAGGCAGCGCCTCGGGAGGGACCCCGCTCAGCCCGAGCGTGGGGAAGGCCGCCTCCCCACGCCTCGGGGCCGGAGTACAGCGGGGGGAAGGGCTCGGGTTGCTGGGTGCCTCGCTCTGGTTGCCTTACACGCCCTTTGTCCGTGCTTTTGTCTCCCAGGAGGAACTGCCGGAGCCCTTTGAGCATCTTCTGCAGAGAATCGCCCGGAGACCCAAGCCTCAGCAGTTCTTTGGATTAATGGGCAAACGGGATGCTGGTGAGATAGGCGACCGTCCCTAGGTGTCTTGGGCAGCCCGCCCTGTCTGCTCACTCCTTCCTGGAGTACCCCAGGGTCTCTCGCTCTGAATAGAGATTTCCACTCCAAGAGGGGTGTAATTCCCCAGGCGCGACATTGGCCCACACCGCACTAAGGCACGCACGGGCCCGCGGGGGGAGGGAAAGATCTGGTTCGCATGCCTCACTGTATTCGAGTGAAGCGCTCCCTTGACTAAAGATCCAAACTGACAAAGGGAAGGCACGGGCCTCCAGGGGTAGTACTGCGGATGATCCAAGTGCATGTGGAAGAGGATTTTATAGCATTCCCTGAGGTGAGAGTACATTTGTCTTGGGATAGAAATATCGTTTCCTTGAATTCATCGCACGGTCAGTGGAACATGTAGTTAATGACAATTCGTCTCTTGTCAGATTCCTCAATTGAAAAACAAGTGGCCCTGTTAAAGGCTCTTTATGGTAAACATTCCTATAAATCTTTATTTTACTATTGTGAAAGCACATGTAGGAAAGTGAAATAAAATCTTTTATGGGCTGAAATACAAGATCTGGGTCATGCCTGTTTAATAAAGAGATGGATTTGCGCACTCTCTCTCGGTTTCTCTCTCTCTCTGTCACTCTCTCTGTCTCTCTCTCTCTGTCACTCTCTCTCAGTCTCTCTCTCTCTCTTTCTCTCTCTCTCTCAGTGGGTGGCCAGCCTTGAAGGTGGGATGTGTTACAGTCTTATAGTTAATAAGAGGCCTCAGAAGTCTCATAGTCCTAGGTTTGAATCCCATAGAAGGCACTTAATAAAAATTCCATTTGTTTGTTTAAATATTTAGTTTTTATGATTAATAATTTGTTTAGCATTTATGGTTCTGCTTTATTCCTCAGGATAATATATAGATAGAAAATGTTACATATTTTGAGAATCAAATTATTTTATAAAAGATATAATGTAGCATCTTTAAAAACAAATCTATATGTGTTTGCTAATTTTATCTTTCTTCTAGGACATGGCCAGATCTCTCACAAAAGTAAGTTCAAAATTATTTTGACATTTATCAAATTTAAATGTAAAATTATATTGAATTTCACTTTATTTATCTTACCTTATTTTCTGTCATGACTCTAGGGCTTAATATGTTTAATGAAGACAATATAAGAATGGGGGAGATTCATATTACATCCAGAATATGGTTGTTTAGACATATTGTACTTAGCAAAGAGATGCATTATATTAAAAAAGAAAAAAATGTCTTTTAAGTCCCTTCAATTGTTAGTTTTAGAGAAGAATTTCAATCCTAGGATTAGAAATCTACCATACATATTTCTTCCCAGCCACCCACCCCCTAAGCTTACTTTCACTGTAAACAAACAAACAAACAAACACGAAACCCCCACAAGCATTTATAGGCATCTCCTAACTCATTTTAGTATGCTTGGTCCAATAATGATGTCATTTATTAGGGTCATCCAGCAGCCAATTAAATGGAATGAGTGAGTGAACATGAGTAGAGAATCCATACTAAAAATGAAGACGGTAGAGATGCAGTTTTTTAATCCCCTAATTGAATGGGAAAACTCGATCAGTAAAACATTTCTTAGGGCAGCAAAGATGGCAAAATTGTGGTATGTGAAGGTCATTAAATTTGTTTCTCAGTTAATGGAACCGGAGTTGACAAGAAGTGGAAAGGGTCTATCTTCATCGTATTGTCCACTCACCTATTGTACCCTGTCATGGATTTGGTTCATTGGGTGGCAGAGCAGGCCACATTAACGTAGCAGCTCTATTCTCAACTATTAAAATAAAAACCAAGAGAAATTCTCTCACTAGCATTAAAATAGTAACCTTTCCAAAGAGTTCATCTTTGAAAAATAAATAGTATTCATATTTACTTTCTAAGGATTTGACTTTGAAGAGAATTATATATAAAAATTCTATGTAATAAAAAATGTACTCTGTTCATGTGAAAACTAATAAACTTTTCTGAAAGGAGTATCTTTTAATATCCAATAAAATAAAAACAGTGACCTTTTAGAAGATTATAATCATCAAGGAAAGGAATCTGGTTTAATTAAGGTCTACTTGCTGAGAAGTACAACTTATTAATAACACAAGGAATTATGCTTGGATATTTCACTCTCACACAAATGTGAAATTGACTTCCTAAAAAATCAAACCTAGCTCAAATAACAATATTTTATATAAAATATTTTAGACCCTTACATAACAGATAAAATATATGAATAGAGAGTGCTTGCTAATATTAAATATAGAATTAAGAAAAGTGGTTTCATTGTATTGTTTTAGTGTAATTTATAAAACTTTTAAGGAATCTTTATTTCTTCAGTCTCACCAAAACTTGAAGTAGATAGATATTTATTATACAGACATATATTCAGAAGCTTGCTTTGTTCTGGTTATAATAGTTTGTTTCCTCAAAGATATACATATTAAAATACCCCTAAATGTATTTTTCCAGGACATAAAACAGATTCCTTTGTTGGACTAATGGGCAAAAGAGCTTTAAATTCTGGTATGTATGAAATTATGACTGAAAATAGACAGTATCTCAAATCTATTTCTATTTTTTCTAAGACATAGTTTTAAAATATTAAAAAGGAGTGGTAGATATAAAAATGAGTATTATGGTGGAAAAATTTAATTGTTGTACTTGTAACCACAAATGGATTTATAGCTGGTTAAGCTAATACTACCACAGTATCTGTCTATTTCTCTCCAATCACCATTCTTACCAGTGTCTGCCCCATTTAATCATTACCAACCTGAATCTTTGGGTTAGTGCTATATTCTTTCCTATAGATCTGTTAAATAAGCCGTGTTTAACCTTACTGAACTAAGGGGGAGTGGGGAGTGCAGGGAAGAATGAGGGTGATTTTCACTTGTTATCAAAGTAATTTGAAAGTTTTACAAGACATTACATTTGGCGATCTTCCAATACAAAAATAAATTCACAAAACAAATTCTTTATGCAAATTAATCACTTTTTATGAAGTTGTAGAAATTCAAAATCTAAACATCCTGATGGATGTTGGAGAGGACAAAAGTGATACGGTTTATTCCAGTACTTTCAAAAAGGAACACAATTAAATATCCTTGAGTGTTATAAATTGGTTCTGGCTATAAACTCCTTAGAGAGAAAGGATGCCACAATTCTCATTTTAATTCTGAACAACTTTTTCGTATGATATAAAGGCTGCAGGTTTCCTTCTCTTCAATTTCCATCTTCTTTGTAAATACCACGTACATATATCTGAAAACCATTATTAGTTAACTCATTCATCACACTGATTTCAATGTAAATAACCCCTAGATCATTTTAATAGAAGCTCACTTTTTGTTAAGACCTTATAGCTCTTACCTCTAGGGCTTCTTGGAAAAGCTATTCAAATTCTATTTTGCCTTCAGTGAAAATAGAATTAAAATACTAAATACGTTATTAATTATAAAGTAATCAGCAGCTGTCTTACCCATTTAGAATATTTCCAGTTTCTAGACAATCTATAAGATGTGCTGGCTTAATCCTTAATTATCTGGATCCTAGGAAAAATAATTATCCTAGTGTTTTTTAATGGAGATTTTTTTCTTTATTGTGAAATGTAAGACTTGGGTACATTAAATAAAACCACTTTCTGTGGGGCAAAAATCAAAACGCGCAATAGAAAAAAAAAGTTAACACAATCTGGGCTACGGCAGAAGCCAGAGAATATATTCATATAATTGAAAAGTTCTAAGTGTTTCATAATTGACCTTTTGATACAAAATTTCCAATAAATCTGGAATTTGAAGTTCTTGGTGAAGTCCACAGGACTTCCTAGTGTTCTTATTGGGTCCCCACTTTCTATTTAGACACTACCTTTGCATCTTCTCACCAGTCATTTTGGGCTGCCGAAGTGTAAAAGTGTAAGAAATTATCAATGTGCCTTAATGAAAAACTTGTAATTGTTTTATTAATATGTATTATCTTCCCACTTTTGGAAATGAAATATAAATTTAAACCACAATGGCTTTTATTTGTACCAATACATACTAGTCCTCACTTAATTGTAGTTTTCTTGATAATCATATTAGTCATCAACTTTCCATTTCCAGAATTGATATAGGTTTCAGAACATGCTTAACTTTACAAATGTAGATATTGTACAAGTTAGAACAGATTAAATACAATTAAATGTACTTAAAATAATAACATAATTTTAAGTAGTGATAAAAATCACTGTAGTGAATCAGGATCAATTTATAACTAAATCTTTGTTCCTCCATTTTAGTTAAGGAAATATAAATAGGTGAAATGTGGAAAAAAATGTGATATGATCCACAGTCAATCAGGGATCTTTTTATGTACCTCATTGAGGCAAGGTTATCATAGCCTTAATCTATAGCCCTCTGATCTTTACCCACTCATGGTCAGGGACCCCTTTGACAATCTGATAAATCTAGATAGATGCCCTTTCCCAGAGAAACCCTCATCAGCTCATACACTCAAAAATTTATATCAGGCTTCAGAGGGTTCAAAGACCAGGTAAGAAACTCTGCTTCCATGTAAGAGGACATTATGTTCCAGCTAAATCACTGTCTGTCTTTAGTTGGTTTACATTAGCTTTCATCTAATTTCTCTGAGGAATAGAGTCATGTTACCTAAAGCTTGTCAGAGACTGAACTTGGGCCATTCATCCTGTTCCTAATATAATCAAACCAGAATGAGAAATAAACTGTTTCCTTCCCTCACGCCTGTCCAGTGTTGGCTCAGACTGTTCTGCCTCACAAGTGCATACTTAATTGATGTAAAATATGCAGCTTATTGTTAACCGCACTTAAAGGATAGCTGGGTGTTTAAGACCAGTATTAAAAGAGGGAAGTGATAATACTGGTGCCTTTACCTGTCTTCTCTGTCAGCAAATCTTCTCACTGAGGAAACTGTTTAGAGTAGCACTTATTATTCCTACAGATCCTTCACAGATCTTTCTACTCTTTCTGTTTACATTCAGTATTTTATACAGGCCATACTGAATTTCAAAAAGCATAGTAGTTCCACTATACCATACGTCTAAGTCTATAAGGTATTCGTTAAGGATGAAAAATATCCCAAAATACTTTTATTGCAACAGTCTGATTTTTACCCCTTTGTGGTTACAGATCCCTTTGAAATTATATATAATAAATATAATATAATATAATATACAATTTTGGCATTTTTTTGTCCAGATAATCAATGTATTTAAATTACTTGCTAGCTATATGTTAAATACCTTTGGAAGCAATAATTAATGCTTCACAGGCCATTAAGGTGCTAGTGAAAAGTTAAACAGTATGGTATTTAGATGGCTCAACTGACTTACCTATGGTAAATGGGCTGTTTTTAGTCTTGAGGGCAGTCCATCACTGGGAGGTATCCACAAGGTAGGAAGAGACCCCTACACAATTAGATGCCCCTTGAACAAAGATCAGCAAACTTTTCCTGAAAAGAAACAGATTATAAATATTTTAGGCTTTGTGAGCCATGTAATCTCTGTTGCAACTACCCAAATCTGTTATTTTAGGCCAAAGCAGCCATAGACAATATGTAAATGAATGAGTGTGTCTGTATTCCTATAAACCTCTTTACAAGAACAAATGGTATTCTAGATTTGGCCCATGGTCTCTGCTAGAATAAAAGTCCCACATTTGGTTTTTATCCTACTAGTATTCCTGGTTATTTTAGGCATTGTCCTTTCTAGAATTCACTATGGGTATCTGCCACTGCTTGAGAAAGCTGCTGAGAATCAACACTGCAATATATTGTGGAAATATGCTTTGGGGGCACCAAGTATATGATGAATGATGAATGAAACCGAGTTCTGTGGTTAGATCATTTCCAATCAGAATAGAGACTGAGGCAGGATTGGAAGATGTGCAGATAACATTCTTAGAAATACTTCTGTAGAGGGAAAATGTCATTATGAGTTTAAAATAAATTACTATATGCCCTGAACTTTAGTTGTGTAACTCCCTCAGTGAATTCACTTAAAAAACACTTTATCTCTTCTTTGTTTTCAGTGGCTTATGAAAGGAGTGCAATGCAGAATTATGAAAGAAGACGTTAATAAACTACCTAACATTATTTATTCAGCTTCATTTGTGTCAATGGGCAATGACAGGTAAATTAAGACATGCACTATGAGGAATAATTATTTATTTAATAACAATTGTTTGGGGTTGAAAATTCAAAAAGTGTTTATTTTTCATATTGTGCCAATATGTATTGTAAACATGTGTTTTAATTCCAATATGATGACTCCCTTAAAATAGAAATAAGTGGTTATTTCTCAACAAAGCACAGTGTTAAATGAAATTGTAAAACCTGTCAATGATACAGTCCCTAAAGAAAAAAAATCATTGCTTTGAAGCAGTTGTGTCAGCTACTGCGGAAAAGGAAGGAAACTCCTGACAGTCTTGTGCTTTTCCTATTTGTTTTCATGGTGAAAATGTACTGAGATTTTGGTATTACACTGTATTTGTATCTCTGAAGCATGTTTCATGTTTTGTGACTATATAGAGATGTTTTTAAAAGTTTCAATGTGATTCTAATGTCTTCATTTCATTGTATGATGTGTTGTGATAGCTAACATTTTAAATAAAAGAAAAAATATCTTGAAGATTTTTGTCACATGTCTTTTATTAACATTTATGTCCAATTAGCAATCTTTCCTTTAATAGGTGAAATAGGTTCAAAGCGGTTTTGTCTAAAATGCAGTTTCTCTGTCATGCACTTTTTTTGCTAAATCACTTGTCATGAGATCATTTATGAAGAACACAATTGCATTTTGCATTCCAAAGAGTAAAGGCTAAGTTCTGGTTTTATATGCTTTTAATTCCTTTTTACAAATAGGATAATAATCTATTTCAAAGATATATTTCACTGATTATTTTCTTGTTGAGTAAAACATCAGCTCACTACCATTTCAGCCCTGCTCAGAGCCCAGGTATAAATGCATCAGTGCCTGAGTCTCACTAGCATTAAGATAGCAAATCAAATTCTCACAAAGATTGTCGGAAGATGATACAGGAAGATGAGGTGTTGATAATAGGGCAACACCCTCACAGCAAAAATAAGAACTCCTTTCCAGCATTTCTAAGAAGTGCCTGTGAATTGCTAATACCTATAACACTCTCTCTGTCTGATAGAAGCACATGCGTCAGGAATAAATACCAAGCATTGAGAGGGAGGCTTGTGCATTTTGATTGATAAGTGTCCTTGGAATCATTTTCTGATTGCATAGAGCATGTGAAGTATTGACCAGTGGTGAAACAATGCAGACAAGCACTGTTCAGTGAAGTAAAAAAAATGAATTTAGCCTGGACTGGTGACTGTTGGTGAGCAATAAAACCATTTGTAGGAGAGAAGAGCTAAAGCATATTTTAACATACATATTTTCAATTAAATGTTTTTTTAAAAAACTCCAACTCATATTCCTTAGTACACAATACATCTAAATATGAAAAATTATATAATGGTAAGCAAAATGGAGAAAACCAGAGTCATCCCCTAGAGCCCCACTCCCCAACAGCAATGTTTAACATTCCATTGAATAATAATTATAATAAATAATCATTAGCTAAAATTATATATGTACTTAATCACTCAATGACAAAAATAATCGTCATTATTATCATTTTACAGATGGGGTTATGAAGCTTAACAAAATGCTGGGGTCAGAGATTATAATAGGAGTCAGGATTGGAAATAAACTGAGGGGGAAATAGAGCAAATATCTAACAATGAAATTGATTAAGCAAACGTACTAAAACAACAGAATATTATACAGTCATTTAAAGCAGCATCATGGTGTATTTAATAATGTGGAACATATATGGTATGTTGTTAGACATAAAGCAGTATTTGTTATATATATATTTACATATGTATTTACACATATATATATAGTTTTTCTGCATAGCTGTTGTAACAAGAGGAACAATTTTAGTGGATAAGCACATGGGACTCAATGTCATACTACTCAGGTTTGAATCTTGGCTCTATCACATTATGAATGGCCTTGTAAAGATGGGCGAGTCCCTTAACTTTTCTTTGCCTTATTTTCCTCATCAGTAAAATTAGAATAACACTAGTACTCACTACATGGCATTCAGCTGAGGGTTGAGTGAAATGATGCCTGTAAAGCTTTGAACACACTCTCTCACACACAGCGAGCATTCAGTGAATGTTACCTGTTCCCATTTTAAGCTACTGTTCAAAATGCCAGTGTGAAAATTAGTTCTATATTTTAGCCATAAAAAATGTTTATAGTCACTAGACACACTGAACAAGCAACAGCATGGGGTGGTATTTAAATCTTTGCTTCACAAATTAAATCCAGGCTATATCACAAATTTGCAGTGCTTTGTGCTGTTCATTGCTGCACTAAATAGTCCCCGTGGCTCCTTCCCACTCTGAAATTCTATAAATCTCTGTGGTATGATCCCACAGTGCTACATAAAGACATGCATTGGCGGAACTTCACTCATGCCTGCTTTCCCTCTAGGCCCAGAAACCCAGTAGCAACACAAATAGGAAAAGGGACAGAAACTTCAGTTTAAGTTTCTGCTCAAACAATTTATTATTACTTTCTCTTTGTGCTATATTTCCTTTAAAGTAAGTTTTCTTCACCTATATTCTTTCTTATTGTATTCTGTTATGAAACAGCAAAAAGACCAAACTATATAAACTTACCTGTATACATTATTGCTTTGGTTTTTGTTTGTTTTGTTTTTGTTTCTGCATTGGTCAGGGCCCAGGGCAAAAATAAATTATTTTCAAGCTAATTTGAGAAGGGGTTAATAAAGGGACTAGTTACAAAGTTATGGGCAGCATGTAGAGAAGCTAGTAATGGTATATGGTTCTCCATGCTATGTCCTTGGGAGCAACAGCTACCCCTATGCCAGAAGGATCAACGTGAAGAAATGAGGGTCCCTGTATGCAAAAGGCTGCTTGATGGCAGTTGCCTTCAGTAAAAGAGTGGAGCCAAAACAAGGTGTTCAAGTATGGATGGGAGGAGGAGAGTGGGGTGACCAGGTAATAAATATCCCATCCTCATTGCCACCCAGCTGTCTGATCTCCTGTCGGTACCTCCCACTGGGCAAACCCAACTGGAAAACAGAAGAGTAGGAGCCCTTGAATGCTGTCTACACAAGTAAGCAGCACATATAGGGCTCTTGAGCATGTGGAGAAAGCCGGCAGCTGCATTGGTGGGGTGGGGCAGGGGACGCAGAAGGAAGATATTCAACACGTGTGCTCTATTATCTTGAATCAAAGGGAAATTAATAAGCAGAAATCCAAATAAAGGAAAGTATACAGTAACAATAAAAGTCCTTCTCTACATCCCCAGGGATATAGTTTCACATGGATCCATCCAAACAGACAAAAATAAGAGCATCTTGTCTCAATTTGAGCACGTGCTGAAATCTCTCCTTCTAACACGAAATCATTATGAATGATTTTTAAAGGTATATTTTTAAGGAAGTTAATACATATGTTGGGATTTGTGCAAAACACAGGAAAGATTTTTATTAGATCAGAAATTTTGTAAATCCCCAAAAAAGAAGCAGAAGGGAAGCCACAATAGTAAGCCATAGCCCTAGCAGGAAATTGCAGAGGCTACAGTGGAAGGTGCCAACCCCAGAATAAGGAATTGACCACTGCAGACAACAGACTTGCTAGCAATACTGGATGAGTATTGCAGCCATGAGATAAGGGGACAAAATATTCAAAATTCTTAAGGAAAACAGTATTTAACCAAACTATCATGTAACAGTGAGGATGAATTTGTGGAAGAAGAAAAGCCAACTAAAAGCTGTTAACTTAAGCCTTATTAAAACCATTGCAACATGAGAATAGCTCAAAATAGCTATTTCTGCTGAAGAGCAGAAAGCCTAAGGAATTTATATGTTAGATTAGCCGGGTGCAGCAGCTCATGCCTATAATCCCAGTGCTTTGAGAGGCTGAGATGGGAGGATTGCTTGACGCCAAGAGTTTAAGACCAGCCTGGTCTTAGAAAAGCAAGACCTCATCTCTACAAAAAATATAAATGAAACATTAGCTGGGCATGGTGGCACACGCCTGTAGTCCTAGCTATTCAGGGAGCGAGGTGGGAGGATCATTTGGGCCCAGGAGTCTGAGGTTAAGGTGAGCTATGGTTGTGCTACCATATTTGAGCCTGGGCAACAGAGAAAGACCCTGTTTCTGAAAACAAATGAACAACAACAACAACAACAACAAAACATAAGAATTTACATGTTAGGTTGATGAAGGTCAGTCAATATTTCACTATATCCTGAAAATTGTCCACTGTTCCAATTCAGAGAAGGTATGGGGCTGTATTAATAATGAGACAGGATTCAGGTCCTGAAAGACTGAAGCTTAGGTTCTAGCAGCTGTTACCCAATTTGGGTCTGAAAGGAAAAGTGAGGAGAAAGAGGTGTGGGCCCAGATCTTACTAGGGTCAGTGAAATAAATTCAGTCATTCACCTTCTTTCACTAATTGAGGGCATTTTCACGCATATAAGACCTCAGAAACTTTACACCCACCTTCTTTGAAAAAATTACTAAGGACTTATTTCAGCAAGAAGAAAACTAAATCCGGGAGGAAATAATTATAAGAAATATGGTGAGCAAAGTAATCATTTTTAAAATATTGCCAAATTGAAGAGTTATGTATGTGTGTGTTAAATAAACAATCTAGAAATAAAATCTGATAAGATGTCAACATGGGAGTTAGCTGGGGGAGAAGGAAGGACAGTATAAAAGGAAATGAATACATGCTAAATTTATTGTGTTATTGAGGAGGCTAGGACATAATCCAGACTTTTTCTCAAAGAATGTGTAAGTTTCTGTGTGTGAGTTAAAAATATACACAGGCTAAAACTAAAAGAATAGATGAATAAGTAACTATCAAAACAGAAGAAGGAAAATGTTGCAAAGCACAATCTAATCAACAGAAGGAAAGAAAGCTTTTTTAAAATCTTCGTTAAAAAACTAACTAGGCCAGGCGTGGTGGCTCACACCTGTAATCCCAGCACTTTGGGAGGCCGAGGTGGGCGGATCACCTGAGAGGTCAGGAGTTCGAGACCAGCCTGGCCAACATGGTGAAACCCCGTCTCTACTAAAAATACAAAATTAGCCGGGTGTGGTGGTGGATGCCTGTAATTCCAGCTACTTGGGAGGCTAAGGCAGGAGAATTGCTTGAACCTGGCGGGTAGAGGTTGCAGTGAGCCGAGATTGTGCCATTGCACTCCAGCCTGGTCAAAAAGAGCAAAGCTCCGTCTCAAAAAACCAAACAAACAAACAAACCTAACTAAACATTTATATTTGCATAAATATGAGTAGGTTTATTAGACCTATTAAAAGACAGAGATGTCAGGTTGCTAAAAAGATAAAAAATGTAGCTATTTATTATTTACCAAAAGACAAACCTGAAAAAAATAGAAAAATGTTAAAAAATAAAGGGATATTTTAAAAATCTGCCAAATACTAACATAATGATTATATGGCAATTTTACTGTCATACAAGTCAATAAAAAATTTTCCTGGTAAAAATTCCAGGAAATAAAAAATGATTATTAATATTGATAAAAGGAATAATCTACTAAGAACACGTAACAGCACTGAACCTTTATGAATATGAGGTAGAGTCAAAATATATAAAGCAGGCTGAGAACAGTGGCTCACACCTGTAAACCCTGCACTTTGGGAAGCCAGGGAAAAAGGGCTGCCTGAGTCCAGGAGTTTGAGACTAGCCCGGGAAACATAGCAAGGTCTCAACTTTACCAAAAAGATTTTTAAAAATTGTGTGTATATATATATATGTATATATACATATATATATATATTTTTTTACTGGGAATTGTGAAGAATGCTGCAATGAACATAGGAATGCAGGTATCTTTTCAATGTACTGATTTCATTTTTTAAAATATATATATACCCAGAAATGGGATTGCTGGATCATATAGTAGTTCTGTTTTTACATTTTTGAGGAATCTCCATACTGTTTTCCATAAGTTGTACTAATCTACATTCTCACCAATAGTGTATAAAGTTTCCCTTTTCTCCACATCCTTGCAACACTTGTATTTTGTCTTTTAGATAATAGCCATTCTATTATAAGAAGGGTGTATATATATGCCAATCAAAATATTTTAAAGTATTAAAAATGTGTAAATAATAGCTATGAAAAAGTCACACTTTTTCAGTCAAAAAGTAAGCAAGTGCAAGAGGAATTAAATAGACATATAGAGAATTAAGACAAATAGACATATGCAATCAAGAATCTTCATCCCTAATGAACCCCAAAAATCCTCAAAAAATACTAGCAAGCCAAATTTCACAGCACATTAAAGAAATCATATACCATGATTAAGTGGCATTTATCTCTGGGTTGCAAAGATGGCTAAACATATGCAAATCAGTTGATGTGATTTAATAGAATGAAGGATAAAAATCATATGATTATTTCAGTAGATGCAGAAAAAGCATTTGAGAAATTCAACATCCTTTTATGATTAAAACTTTCAACAACTACATAAAGAATATACTAATATTCTTTTTGTTATGTTTCTCAACATGATAAAGGCCACACATGACAAGCTTACAGTTAACATTATACTCCACAGTAAAAAGTTGAAAGCTTTCCAAGATTAGTAACAAAGCAAGGATGCCTACTCTTTCCACTCCTATCCAGTATAGTACTGGAAGCCCTAACCAAACCAATTAAGCAAGAAAAAGAAATAACCAGCAACCAAATTGAAAAGAAAGCAGTAAACTTTTCCCTTTTTGCCAATGACATGACCTTATACATAGAAAACTATAAAGATTCCACCAAAAAAACTCTTGGAGCCAATCAATTCTGTAAAGTTGTATAATACAAGATCAGCTATAAAATCAACAGCATTTCTGTACACTAACCACAAACTATCCAAAAAAGAAATCAAGAAAATAATATTATATATCATAGCATTTTAAAAATACATAAAATGTTTAGAAATAAATTTGACCAAGGAGTTTCTACATTGTTTTCTACATTGAAAACTACAAAATATTGATGAAATAAATTGAAGATGAAAAGAATAAATGGAAAAATATCATTTTCATGGATTAGAAGAATTAATATCATAAAAATGCCTGTACTACTCAAAGTGATCTACAGATTTAATGAAATTCCTATTAAAATTCCAATGAGGTTTTTACAGAAAGTTTTTTTAATTCTAAAATTTGTATGGCACCACAAAAATCATGAAGAGCCAAAGCATCTTGACCAAAAAGAACAAAACTGAAGACATCACACTACCTGACTTCAAAATATACTACAAAGGTATAATAATCAAAACATCCCAGTACTGGCATAAAAACAGATATATAGACCAATGGAACAGAATAGAAGGCCCAGAAGAAATCCACACATTTACAGTCAAATGACCTTCAACAAAGGCAGCAAGAACACACAATGGGGAATGGACAGTCTCTTCAGTAAGTGGTGTTGGGAAAACTGAATATACACATGCAAAAGAATGAAATTAGACTGGTTTCTTGCACCATCTGTAAAACTCAACTGAAAATAGATAACTTACTTAATTGTAAGGCCTGAAACTATAAAACTACTAAAAGAAACCATAGGGGAAAAGCTTCTTTACATAGGTCTGGGAAATTACTTTTTGGATATGACTCCCACAGCTCAGGCAACAAAATAAAAAATGGGCAAATGGGATTGTATCAAACTGAAAAGCTTCTGCACAGCAAAGAAAACAAAAGTGAAGAGACAACCAACAAAAGGGGAAAAATATTTGCAAGTCATACATCTGATAAGGGGTTAATATTCAAAAAATATAAGGAACCCAAACAACCTTATAGCAAGAAAATGAATAACCCAATTTTAAAATGAGCAACAGATGAGAACAGACATTTCTTAAAAGAAAACATACAAATGGACAACAGACATATGAAAAAATCCTTAACATCCCTAATCATTAGGGAAATGCAAATAAAAACCACAGTGAACTCTCACCTCACACTTCTTAGAATGGCTATTATCAAAAAGACAAAATACAACAAAAGTTGCAAGGATGTGGAGAAAAGGAAAACTTTGTACACTATTGGTGGGAATGTAGATTAGTATAACTATTATGGAAAACAGTATGGAGATTCCTCAAAACTTTAAAAACAGAACTACTATATGATCCAGCAATCCCACTTCTGGGTATATATATTTTAAAAAATAAAATCAGTACATTGAGGATATACCTGCATTCCTATGTTTATTGCAGCATTCTTCACAATTACCAAGATATGGAATCAAACTAAGCATCCACTGACAGGTAAATGGATAAAAAAAATGCAACACACACACACACACACACACACACACACACACACACACACACCTCCACACAATGAAATACTATTCAATCTTTTCAAAGAAGGAAATCTGATCATTTGTAACAACATGGATAAACCTAGAAGACATTATGCTAAGTAAAATAAGCCAGGCACAAATACTACATGATCTCACTTATATGTGGAGTTTGAAAAGTCAAGCTCATAGAAGCAGAGAGTAGAATGGTGGTTGCCAGGGGCTGGCGGAAGGGAAGAGGAATGTGGAGATGTTGGTCAAAGGGTAAAAAAGTTTCAGTTAGACAGGGTGAATAAGTTCTGAAGCATTGAGCTTGCAGAGCATGGTGGCTACAGTTAATAATAACCTATTGCATATTGAAAATTGCTAAAAATATAGATCTTAAATTTTCTTATCTCACACACAACAAAAGTTTGTGAGGTGAGAGATATGTTAATTAGCCTGATTTCATGATTTTGCAAGGTATGCATATATCAAAACATCAAGTTGCATACCATAAATATATCCAATCTTTATTTGTCAGTTATACCTTAATAAAACTGAGAAGGAAAAATCTTTACCAAATAGACATACTTTAAAATATATATGTGGAATTTTCAGATAATTGAACAATAGGACAAAAAAAATGAAAGAAATAATTTTAAAGAGATAAACTTTGGAAAGCTATTGAAAAAAGATAAGATAAAACTTGACATTGACAAAAAATAGCTATATATACACAAGAGTTGGAAAAATGTTTAAGATACTGCTATACAAAATTCTACACCAATGAATGTATGAAAGTATAATTTTTGGTTATTAGAAATTATTATTCTTCAAAATTAGAGTATTAAAATAGCCCACTGAAAATGAAAGTATTTATAGCTCATTATACACTCATTAACTACACCTCCTAACCCACACTGACATCTAAAAGGCAGTAGCCCAGATCATTTAATAGATAATTCCAACTAAAACTCTAAGAATGAAAGTAATGAACTTTTCCATCTTTAATAACTGTTTCAGAAATAGGAAAATAAGGGCAAGTTAACTCTCCAACACATTTAATGAGGTCAGTCTACACCTAAAAGAAACTACTGAACTCATTTAATAAGACTAGCCTAACCCTGATATAAAACCAAAGGAAGGACTCTAGAACAGAAAATTGTAGGCCATCCCCACTTGTGACCATAGAAACAAATAATAGAAATAACAAATCTATGTATATGCTATTATATAAGCTATGTAAACAATGTATAACATATAATAATTTTATAATATATGTACATATTATATACTTACATGTTTTATATGTTATAAAATATTACACACAAAAAAGATTAAATAAGGCTTTCCCAGAGATGCAACATTAGAAAGCTTATCATTATAATATACCTCAATAACATATTAAAGGTGAAGGTGGGTCTCAAAGCTCTCTCCCAGCTACCTTTTGGAGATATTGATGAGCTGATACTAAAATTCTTGTAATAAACCAAGTGACCCACAATAGCCAAAACTATTTTGAAAATGAACAAACTTGGAGGACTCATACCTACCAATGTCAAAACTTAATACCAAGCTGCAATAATCAAGACAGTGCAGCTCTGGTATAAGGTCAATCATATAGACTGTTGCAATCAAAATGAGGATCAGTAATAAAACTGCATTTTATGGTTAACTGATTTTTAGCAAGCATGGTCAAGCAATCAATGGGGGAAAGAATGGTCTTCTTTTTTAATGGTACTGGGATAGCTAGATATCCACAAGTGAAGGAATGATGGAGGATTCCTTCCTCACACCATACACAAAAATTAACTCCAATGGATTACAGACCTTCAGTATGACCTAAAACTATAAAACACAGGAGTAAATCTTTGCAGCTTGGGTTAGCAAAGCATTCATAGATATGACACCAAAAGCAAAAATTAGATAAATTTTTCTAAACCTTACCAAAGTTAAAAGCTTTTCTGTGTCAAAGGTCACTATCAACAAGGTGAAAAGACAACCCATAGAATAGGAGAAAGTATTTGAAAATCACATATCTGATAAGGGACAAATATGGGCAAATATCTAAACAGGCATTTCTCCAAAGAATGACCAATACGCACATGAAAAGCAACATCATTAACCCTTAGGGAAAGGTAAACCAAACTCACAATGAGATGCCACTTCACCCATGCTAGGGTGGCTATAATAAAAAAGACAGGTAACAAGTGTTGGTAAAAATGTAGAAAAATTGGGAACCGCCTACATTGCATTTGGGAATACATAATTGTGCAGTCATTTTGGAAAACAGTTTGCAGTTCCTCAAAATGTTAAACGTAAGAGTTACCATATGACCCAGAAATTTCCTTTCTAGGTATATAACCAAGAGAAATGAGAACATATGTCTACACAAAAACCTGTACAAGAATGTTCATAGCAGTATTATTCGTATAGAGAAAAGGTGAAAACAACCCAAATGTCCATAAACTGATGAATGAATAAGCAAAATTCAGTACATCCATATGATAATAATATTATCCTGCAATAAAAATAAATGAAATACTGATAAATGCTGCAACATAGATAAACTTTGAAAATGTTTTGCTAGGTGAAAGAAGCCAGTCAAGAAAGAGTACATATTATTCTACTTATATAAAATGTCCAGAATAGGCAAATCCATAGAGGCAGAAATATATTAGTGGTTGCCAGTGGGAAGGAAATGGGGGGTAACTGCTAAAGCTACAGTGTTTCCTTTTGAGATGATGTTCTAAAATTGTGGAGATGTGCACAACTCTATAACTGTACTAAAAATCAATAGTTGTACACTGACATATCCATGGCATGCCTAAGAAATGTCTTAGTAGGAGATGTGCACAAGCCAGTGCAGAGTTTGATTATCAGTATGGAAGGCAGAACCAATTAGGCAGCAATCCAGTGCTACAGAACCTTGCAGTGGGGCTACGAGAAGCCAGTTCCCCCATCCTACTTGGGACCATGCAGCACTCAGTGGGCATGACTGGGGCCTGGAATGTCTGAACATCAGTCTGCTAAGGACCTCCAGATCTCTCTGTCTTAAGAAGCAGCCATTTACAGGGCTGCTATGTGTTGTATGTATAGGGTTGTGTACAATCAGTGTGATTCAATCATTCACTTAACTTGTGTATTAATTTATTGACTCTATTCACTCATATAACATACTATTAGGACATTCCTTTTATGTGCTAGTCATTGTACTAAGCATTAACTGCCCAGAGAAAACAAATCTTAGTCTTTTGCCAGAGAACCAACTCGTTATTTTTAATTGTAGTGAATAAAGGGAAGGATTCAAGCATTTATCCTGCCTTTAGTAAATAAGCTGTTAAAAATTTCTCTATATAGAAGTATTCCAGCTAACAAATGAAGACAAAAATGTAAGAATTAGAATATCACTATTTTACAGCCCCTATGAACTAATAGATGTAGGCAATAGTCATCAATCAATACTAACATCACAAATGAGAAATAAACAGGTTATAGGTGTTTCTTAATGGAATTAAACAACATTGTGTATGAAGTCTTGCCAAAAACGTTCACGCTTGATCAAGTTTCTAGATCTAACTACCAGTTTGGAGGAAATAAAAAAGTTAGAGTTGCATAATAAATGACTTCATGGGAAAGACAATGGAAATTCTAAAGAAAGATATCCAGCTCCTCAACAAATACATTTTAAGATAAAGAAAAGGAAAGGAAATGGAAGAGTAGCTTAGAGATGAAAAGAGACTTGAGAGACATATCAACCAATTACAATATATGGACATTATTTGAATCCTATATTAACAAATAAAAATGAAGTATGAGATAATCAGAGAACCTTGAACACTAGACATTCGATGACAATAAGGAATTATTGTTAATGTTTAGATGTGATAATGGTATACAGTTATGGTTAAACAATGTATGAGTTGCAGTCATTGATCTTAAGAAGCTCACAGAAAGTGGGGGGAATATGCAGGTTGAAAAACGATTAAAATACAACTTGATAAGGTTACGCCAGTGATAAGTGAAAAGTATTGTGGGAACACAGAGATGAGTACCACCTAGGAGGCTGAAGGAATAATTCCCATATAAGACAGATAAGAGTCTTAAAGGATGAGAAGTTTGCCAGGGAAATTAGGCAGGAAGGGAGCCCTGAAACAAGAACAATATGAACAGAACAAAGAGGTATTAAAAAAACAGGATGTGTTCCAAGCAGTGCAAATATTTGAGCATGGTTACAGCACAGAGAAGGTGGTGAGATATGAGGTTGGAGAGACAGGCTTGCATGAGATCTTACTGGATCTTTCTCGATTCTGTATGAAGGCCAATGTACTACCTGTTTGATGTTTAAGTATTTTCAGAGATGGAGAAATGTCATTTAAGAGTTATAACAGGTTTCTCTCTCTCTCTCTTTCTTTTTTTTTTTTTTTTTTTTTTGAGACGGAGTCTCGCTCTGTCCTCCAGGCTGGAGTGCAGTGGCACGATCTCAGCTCACTGCAAGCTCCGCCTCCCGGGTTCACACCATTCTCCTGCCTCAGCCTCCCCAGTAGCTGGGACTACAGGCGCCCACCACCACGCCTGGCTAATTTTTTGTATATTTTAGTAGAGACGGGGTTTCACCCTGTTAACCAGGACAGTCTCGATCTCTTAACCTCGTGATCGCCCCCCTCAGCCTCCCAATGTGCTGGGATTACAGGCGTGAGCCTCCGCGCCAGGCCAACAGGTATCTCTTTCTAGAGATGAAGACTTCACTGTACTTCAAGCTTCTAATATAGGTTACAAAAGTGTTATTCAATATGATGTGGGTTGTCATCACTAAGATTCCCGCTAAAATTCTGCTATCTTTTAAACCAAGGAACAGAACACTCAGGAGAACTGGCCCATGTGCTAATGAGGTTCCCATTGTCCCTTCTAAGCCGTATGCCTGGATCAGCAGAGGACTCTCATCTCATCCTGTAGAAAGGTTTGGCTTCAGTATACTCCTGAGAGCTGGAGTTAGGCTTCTGTGGGCTGTAAACAGAAAATAGAAAACAGCCGACTCCCTCGGGCCATGCTTCTTCTTGGTATCTTGTTCCACGTCTATCCCAACTGTCTGCCAAATTTCTTTATGCTTTCTAAGACAAATTCATGGCCTTTTCCAGTTTCCTCAGAAGGGGCACTTGTAAACTCCAAAGGAAGGTGAGACCAGATCATGGCCCAGAAATTCTATTTGGCTTACCTTCTCTGGAACCTTCATCTAAGAGTGGCAATATTCTCATTTCCTTACGCAGCTAGGTTTGCACTTTTTACTCAGTTAAAAACAAAAATAAACTAAACAATATATTGTTTAGAGATACATAAGTAAGTGGCAAAACCACAAAGAAAACCAAGAACGTAATTAACACAAAACACCAGACAGTGGTTTCCTTTGCTGGAGGAAAGAAAAGAGGAGTACACAGGGCATTTCTGAAGTACTGGGTAGATTTCTTAACTATTGAGTCTATTCACTCTATTGATTTCTTAACATGGGGGTTACATTGCTGTTTATTTTATTATAACCATTCTCCAAACCATATGTATATGTATGATATACTTTTCAGTGTGTATGTAACATTACAGACACACAATTTTTAAAGTTGTGGGATTCAAGACAAACATCTTTCATAGCTCCATCATTTGAAACTTTTCCCTAGACATCAGTCTTGCAAATTGATGGCAAGTGGTGGTGACCGACATTCACCTTCCCCTATGCTAACTATCCTGCCTCTTGAAAGAAAGAGTGAAGCAAGTGTGTGTGCACATGTGAGGAGCTATAGGTCTATTTTACTACTATTGGGTAACTCTGCCTCTGAATTTCTGGACAAACCCATAAATTTGAAATAAATTCTCCTTCCCTTGCCCCATGCTTTTTGAAACTGAAGAACATTTTTCAAAGTTCAGTTAAGTGAAACACCTTGCATAAAAAATGTTGTAATTGAGCCTGCTCATGAACAAAAATAATGTATACCAAAATAATTTAGGTATATAAAAAAGTAAAGATAAAATGACAATGTTGGGACAGGAAGTCTAGGAAGAAATTAAAAGCTAAAGAAGAGAGTGGAATATGCCAAACCCACATGGACATCTCACAAAAGAAGGAAGGTGCCTCAGTGGAAGACATTTCCAATAGACATTTTCTTTCCTCTCTTCCCTAAATTTTGTTCATATTAATCTCAATTTCTAAAAATATTTACCTGTGTAATTTATTTCTTCAAAGATCATTTACACACATGAAAGGAAACTCTTTTCTAAATAAACCAAAGTGCAGAGATAATTTCCAAGCTTTGTTCATTGAGTTATTATTATGCAAAAAGAAATACTTAGGGAATTATAAAAAACTTCCCTACTGCAATTTCATAAAATATTATTCTCTTATAATACACATTAATGGCCTCTTCTAAATAGGTGTTAAGTCTATTAGGTAAATATATCATTACATATTTGCAGTCTTTTTTCCCTTCCTCATTTGGTTATGTTAGGTTACAAAAATGCATTCCGAAATTCCAAATACATTTGGAAGACTTTTAAAATTTTATTATAATAGCTTTTTGGTGCCACCAAATTTTATATGACTCTATTTCAAAGGTTGAGCTTATTTCATACTATTTCAGAAGAGTAAAAATTATGTTGCATTGCTCAGACATAATAGACTAGAAAGACTGATTCATTCACTCCTCTGTTTATGTAATCATTCATTCATCCATCACACTTAATTGTCTTATAGTGGTAAGACCTTGTGATAAGTGCAATGGGGAAAATATTCATGAATTGGACCATGAGGCTGACATCAAAACACCTCATATCTAATAGGAGATTAAAATATGCCCAAATAACAAAACTGTTAATTACCATAAGAGAATATTTTTTAAGTACGATTACCTCTGTGATGGCACATATCATTTTCTTCTTTCTCTCTGGTGATCCCTTTCACCTGGAATAGTGCTTGGCCCCTAGCAGGCGCTCATGCTTATTGAATGGGGGTAGGGAGAAATGTATGAATGAAAAAAAGATGACACATGACCTGGGCTTGGATAATGGAATAATCTGTTCATCAGAAAATACATAAGGCAATTTCAAAAATCAAGATCGTGCTTGTGAGTCTTATTTTGACCAAATTCAGTTCTTTTCAGCAATAATTACCTCAGCATGGTCTTAAACCTCCCTCTCCACACTTGTCCTGTCACCACAACTTAAGAAAACATCCATGAACATAAAGACAAAGGCAGTCCCAGGAACTAGGGGAAATTTGTTGAACTATGGTTGATCCATCAAGGAGTGCTGTTCATTTCAAAAGAGTGACCTTGGGGTGTTATGCACTTAGTTCCATGATGCTAACATTATTTAATATATGCATAGAACTCCAGAAGTTGCCTTCAGAATCTGCATCAGCTCCTCTAAATATCCACAATGGCTACATTTTTATCTTTTAAAGGTGGCTATAATATTTGAGAGTCCTGATATTTTCTCTACTTCAATGTACAAATAAATCAGTTGAGTAACATTATTACTGGATATCTTAAAGAGGTACTCCAATTACATTCTCAGAATACTTGCTCTACATAATGGCAAGGTATATAAAGTGGAAAGGAGGCTTGTTTAGATGGCTTTCTTTACAATTGTATTTAAATAAATCTTCAACTACCCACTGCGATGTAATATAATATTTTTTGAAAGATCAATGGGGCTGAAGTACCAAGTGACCATATACTGGAGCTTCTGAGTTGCCAGCAATTCAATAAAAGCTTGGAATAAAATAAGACCAACAACTTGAAAGTCTGAAATTATCATTTTCAAGAGTCATTTTGTAGCAAACAAGAATATAGAGAGGACTAGAATTATTTAAATTAGTGAAAACATGTAGGTGGTTCTGAAATACAGAAAATAGCCTTACAAAAGTTCAGAGTGGGTAAGCATCTCTAATGTAATACCCTGCAGTGACATATTCCATAGAACAAACAAAAGAATACCTTATTTTTTAATAGCGAAAGATCTCTTAGAAGGGGTTCTTATCTATACTCCTAGATGGCTAACATACTTTATCTCGTATCATCATTGTGATATATTATTGATGGTGTCAATGTTATACATAGTGAAGACATGCCAGTGTATTTTCCTCAATGTCCAGGATAGACTATATTTTTTGTATACTTTCTACATTAACTACATATGTCTTCTATTATTCAGTAATAGTGTAAGATACTCTCTCCTCTTTGCAGTTGACCCAGAAAATGAATCAATCTTGTGGGTCACCTCAAATCCTGGTTTTCAATGGGGAAAAAAAACTTCAAAAGTTCTATTAACCAACAATAGTATAAAGAATATTAAAAAGTGCTTGTTGCATATTAAACAATGTGCCTATCTCATTTTTCTTTTCACTTTGCTTTTTGGATTGTCAAGGTTTTCCTCAAAATTGCTGTAATAATATAGAAGAGAATGTCACGTCTCCTCCCTTTTCCAAAACTTTATAAAAAATTTCTTACAAGCTTGTGGATGTAATTGTCTTGATTTAAGGAGAATAAACTGAGAAAGAAAAATGTCTAAGCAAACAACTGTTCAAATATTTTAGAAACTATTAAAACTTAAGGAAAATGTTCTTTTGAAGAGCTAATCACTTATGTAAGAATTTGTAATTATGTAATGATATATGATTAATAATTACTACTCATGTTTAAATAAACTGTAGTTGTTTTCTTGTGTGATTTATATTATAAATTATTAGGCCAAAATAATGTTTGATATAAATATCATTTTATTTAATGTAATAGGCATTAATTATAAATAATTAGATAAAATTATTTTATTATACATGATGAAATATATTATTTGGATGATATATTTCAGTATTTCTTAAAAAGGGCTTTACTATGGAAACACAATGTATGATATTCACAAAACATGTGTGATGCAATCCCAAGATATATATCTAGATGGATAGCTGCAGAAGAGACAAGAGATTCTGAAGATTGTGAATAATTCCTAATGAGGTGACCCTCAAAATACTTAAACTTAAGAAAACAAAAGAGAATGTAAATGAATTAAAATGATGCTATTTTTTACCTTAACTTTTATTCTTTTCAAATTTCAAAAACCTTATAATTTTTACTATTATTAACAAATTTGTTATGATATACCTCATGTCTGATTCAGACAAACCAATATTTTATTCTAGTTGCTAATGCTGCTCTATTCTATAGTTCATTCATCCAAACACTATCCATTTGCCACACATTTTGAGTGTCTGTTAGGTATCAGGCTCTGTGATAGGCACTGGCATTATGGAGATGAACAAGGAATCTTTGAACTCAGTTTCATCTCTTAAAGATCAATATATTGAATGCCTGAGAATGATCAGTGTATTGAATTGTTTTTCATGTTAGAGTTTCATAATTGATGAGCTATAAAATATTCTTTATCTTAACCCCTGTAATTTTAAAAATTATTGAACACCTTCCCTATTTTAGTTAATGTTCATTTACTGATTACTATCTATTTGATAGAGAGGCTAAAAAGGAAAATTTAGTTTTCAGGAAGACCCATCAGAAATTAAGACATGAGCTTCTGATAAAGATGGCAGTCTAGGAGAGAAGAAGTATCATCTTTTGCTTAACCATCTCAAGGTTCATGGCTGAGACTCCTATAACAAAAAAACAGATTAATAAAAGCATACGAGTTAGTTTAATATAAATTATAGGTGACACAGAAGCCTCAGAAATGAAGATCTGAAAAAACAGGAATATCTCTGTGTATTTTATGCTAAGTCTGATTTAAAAAAAAAGATGGTTGTGAAGAAACGTGATTGGGCAAAAAGGAAGATGATGCAATGATAATAAACTGGGGGGAACTCAGCAAGGCCTGTTTGTTCATATTCTTTTCTGTGTCTGTGTCTTCAGAGATAAGGATGGTCCTTTTATCCAGGTAGAGGGAGGACTGTTTGGAGTGAGGGTCTTTTGGAATGAGGGTCTTATAACCTGCTTCAGGGGAAGGTCAGCTTGGTTTTATGGCCCACTTCAGGGGAGAAAAGAAAAAAAGAATTCTAGTTTCTATGGCCTGCTTGAGGAGAGAGGGGGGGCATGAGAAGGTCAAAGAGACCTTCCTGCTTCTGCAGTTTTCTTAATTTTTCAGCTTAAGACTCAGTATTCCAAGATGCCATATTTTGGGCTATCATGTTCTGAGTTCTGTCTGCAGTTTACGCCTATATTATATTTTACCCTCCCTGAAACTTACTGAATTTGAGGGAAGAGAGGGCATTCTGTGTATAGCTAAAATAAAACAACTTAGCTTCCTAACCAAGAAAAATTTTAAATGAACCCTGCAGCACCTCAATAAAATAAATTGAATTAAGACAAATGCTGAACCATCAAATAAAAGCAATGTGAATTTTGTTCAATTTTTAGCAATATGGAATAGTAGAGAGCCCAAAGTCATATAGCCTCAAATCATTTAAGCTATTTTAAAAGGAGGAATATTTTAAAATATGCTTTTAAATCAATGAAAGACACTGTTGAGAAATTGCAATAAGCCATGTGAAGCTGATAGCAAAGCAGGAACTCCAGCCTGATAAGATAAGTTTGGATCCCAGAGGTCCAGAGCACTATAGTGGTTCTCAAAGTGTGTTCCCTGGACCAGTGGCAGCAGCATCACCTAGAAGGCTGTATTTCTAACAACTTCCTAAGTGTCTTCCTAAATCTACTAAATCAATAACTTTGGAAGCTGGGTCCAGTAATTAGTGTTTTAAGAGAACTGGAGTGGTTCTGAAATTATAGCATATATCAGAATCATTTAGAGGGCTTGTTAATTTCCTCAGTGTATTTTCTGGGAATCAGCAGCATTGTTAGAAATGCAGAATCTTAGGCCCTACCCCAGACCTACCACATCAGAATCTGCAGTTTAATAAGATTCCCAGGTGACTTATACACATTAAAATTTGAGAACCACTGGCCTAGAGTAATGTCTTCCAAACGTTTTTGACTCAAAGAAAATATTCTTTGCGATACAATATACGCACACACACACACATACACACACACACACACACACACACACACACACACACACACACTCTGCAGTGGGGTCAGGAGTAAGTGAGGTGAATAAGATACCCAGGATATGAAATTTAAAGAGGCATTCACTTTCAGAGTCCTGCAAATGCACTTACATAAGTGAGTGCCTCTTTTAATTTTGTACTCTAATTGACTCACTTCATCTCATTCTCGTCCACTGCTAGCTTTGAAGGCAGAGAAAACGAGCCATGAGCCAAAGATTGTGGGTGGCCTCCGAAAGCTATATATCCTGAGCTGACAGCCAGCAAGGAAATGAGGACCTCAGTAGAATAACCACATGGAACTGAATTCTACCAATAGCAAGAGTGATATTGGAAGTGGATTCATTCTTAGAACTCCCAGAAAGGAATACAGCCTGCCTGGCACTTCTATTTCAATACTGTGGCACTCTAAGCAGAGGACTCCACTGAACCACACCGTACCCATAAACAGGAAGTCTTTTATGCAGCTGGTATTTATGGGAATTGGAAATTTTGACCTACACAGCTGTGAGATAATAAATGGGTGCTGTTTTAAGCCACTAAAATTTTTTTATTTTTTAAATTTATTTTTAATTTCCATAGGTTTTTGGGGAACAGGGGTATTTGGTTACATGAGTAAGTTCTTTAGTGGTGATTGGTGAGATTTTGGTGCACCTATCACCCAAGCAGTATACACTGAACCCAATTTGTAGTCTTTTATCCCTCACTCCCCTCCTACCCTTTCCCTGGAGCCACCAAAGTCCATTGTATCATTCTTATGCTTTTGCATTCTCATAGCTTAGCTCCCACTTATGAATGAGAACATAGGATGTTTGGTTTTCCATTCCTGAGTTAGTTCACTTAGAATACAAGACTCCTCGGCCGGGCACGGTGGCTCACGCCTGTAATCCCAGCACTTTGGGAGGCCGAGGCAGGCGGATCATGAGGTCAGGAGATCAAGACCATCCTGGCTAACATGGTGAAACCCCATCTCTCCTAAAAAATACAAAAAATTAGCCAGGTGTGGTGGCAGGCGCCTGTAGTCCCAGCTACTCAGGAGGCTGAGGCAGGAGAATGGCGTGAACCTGGGACGCGGAGCTTGCAGTGAGCTGAGATTGTGCTACTGCACTCCAGCCTGGACGACAGAGTGAGACTCCATCTCAAAAAAAAAAAAAAAAAAAAAAAAAAAAAAAGCCAGGTTCCAAGATGGCTGAATAGGAACAGCTCCAGTCTACAGCTCCCAGCTGAGCGACGCAGAAGACGGGTGATTTCTGCATTTCCAACTGAGGTACCAGGTTGATCTCACTGGGGCTTGTCGGACAGTGGGTGCAGGCCACAGACCGTGAGTCGAAGCAGGGCGAGGCACTGCCTCACCCGGGAAACACAAGGGGTCGGGGAATTCCCTTTCCTAGCCAAGGGAAGCCATGACAGATGGCACCTGGAAAATTGGGTCACTCCCACCCTAATACTGCACTTTTCCAATGGTCTTAGCAAATGGCACACCAGGAGAATATATCCGGCACCAGACTCGGAGGGCCCCATGCCCATGGAGCCTTGCTCACTGCTAGCACAGCAGTCTGAGATCAAACTGCAAGGTGGCAGCGAGGCTGGGAGAGGGGTGCCCGCCATTGCTGAGGCTTGAGTAGGCAAACAAAGTAGCTGGGAAGCTCGAACTTGGTGGAGCCCACCGCACCTTAAGGAGGCCTGCCTGCCTCTGTAGACTCCACCTCTGGGAGCAGGGCATAGCTGAACAAAAGGCAGCAGAAACTTCTGCAGACTTAAACTTCCCTGTCTGACAGTTTTGAAGAGAGTAGTGGTTCTCCCAGCATGGAGTTTGAGATCTGAGAACAGACAGACTGCCTCCTCAAGTGGGTCCCTGACCCCCAAGTAGCTTAATTGGGAGGCACCTCCAAGTAGGGGCCAACTGACACCTCATACGACCGGGTGCCCCTCTGAGACAAAGATTCCAGAGGAATGATCAGGCAGCAACATTTGCCATTGTGCAATATGTGTGGTTGTGCAGCCTCCACTGGTGATACCCAGGCAAACAGGGTCTGAAGTGGACCTCCAGCAAATTCCAACAGACCTGCAGCTGAGGGTCCTGACTCTTAGAAGGAAAACTAACGAACAGAAAGGACACCCACACCAAAACCCTATCTGTATGTCACCATCATCAAAGACCAAAGGTAGATAAAACCACAAAGATGGGGAGAAACCAGAGCAGAAAAGCTGAAAATTCTAAAAATCAGAGTGTCTGTTCTTCTAAGGAACACAGCTCCTCGCCAGCAATGGAACAAAGCTGGATGGAGAATGACTTTGACGAGTTGAGAGAAGAAGGCTTCAGAAGATCGGTAATAACAAACTTCTCCGAGCTAAAGGAGGATGTTCAAACCTATCCCAAGGAAGGTAAAAACCTTGAAAAAAGATTGGATCAATGGCTGACTAGAATAAACAGCATAGAAAAGACCTTAAATGACCTGATGGAGCTGAAAACCATGGCACGAGAACTACATCATGCATGCACAAGCTTCAGTAGTCCATTCGATCAACTGGAAGAAAGGGTATCAGTGATGGAAGATCAAATGAATGAAATGAAGCCAGAAGAGAAGTTTAGAGAAAAAAGAATAAAAGGAAATGAACAAAGCCTCCAAGAAATATGGGACTATGGGAAAAGACCAAATCTATGTCTGATTGGTGTACCTGAAAGTGACGGGGAGAATGGAACCAAGTTGGAAAATACACTTCAGGATATAATCCAGGAGAACTTCCCCAACCTAGCAAGGCAGGCCAACATTCAAATTCAGGAAATACAGGAAATACAGAGAACACCACAAAGATACTCACCGAGAAGAGCAACTCCAAGACACATAATTGTCAGATTCACCAAGGTTGATATGAAGGAAAAAATGTTAAGGGCAGTCAGAGAGAAAGGTTAGGTTACCCACAAAGGGAAGCCCATCAGACTAACAGCAGATCTCTCAAAAGAAACTCTACAAGCCAGAAGAGAGTGGGGGCCAATATTCAACATTCTTAAAGAAAAGAATTTTCAAGCCAGAATTTCATATCCAGCCAAACTAAGCTTCATAAGTGAAGGAGAAATAAAATACTTTACAGACAAGCAAATGTTGAAAGATTTTGTCACCACCAGGCCTGCCCTAAAAGAGCTAAAGGAAGCACTAAACATGGAAAGGAACAACCGGTACCAGCCACTCCAAAATCATGCCAAATTGTAAAGACCATTGAGGCTAGGAAGAAACTGCATGAACTAACGAGCAAAATAACCAGCTAACATCATAATGACAGGATCAAATTCACACATAACAATATTAACCTTAAATGTAAATGGGCTAAATGCTCCAGTTAAAAGACACAGACTGGCAAATTGGATAAGGAGTCAAGACCCATCAGTGTGCTGTATTCAGGAGACCCATCTCATGTGCAGACACACACATAGGATCAAAATAAAGGGATGGAGGAAGATCTACCAAGCAAATGGAAAACAAAAAAAGGCAGGGGTTGCAATCCTAGTCTCTGATAAAACAGGCTTTAAACCAACAAAGATCAGAAGAGACAAAGAAGGCCATTACATAATGGTAAAGGGATCAATTCAACAAGAAGAGCTAACTATCCTAAATATATATGCACCCAATACCGGAGGACCCAGATTCATAAAGCAAGTCCTGAGTGACCTACAAAGAGACTTAGACTCCCACACAATAATAATGGGAGACTTTAACACCCCACTGTCAACATTAGACAGATCTATGAGGCAGAAAATTAACAAGGATATCCAGGAATTGAACTCAGCTCTGCACCAAGTGGACCTAATAGACATCTACAGAACTCTCCAGCCCAAATCAACAGAATATACATTCTTCTCAGCACCACATCGCACTTATTCCAAAATTGACCACGTAGTTGGAAGTAAAACACTCCTCAGCAAATGTAAAAGACCAGAAACTACAACAAACTGTCTATCAAACCGCAGTGCAATCAAACTAGAACTCAGGATTAAGAAACTCACTCAAAACCGCTCAGCTGCATGGAAACTGAACAACCTGCTCCTGAATGACTACTGGGTACATAACGAAATGAAGGCAGAAATAAAGATGTTCTTTGAAACCAGAACAAAGATACAACATGCCAGAATCTCTGGGATTCTGTAGAGGGAAATTTATAGCACTAAATGCCCACAAGAGAAAGCAGGAAAGGTCTAAAATTGACAACCTAACATCACAATTAAAAGAACTAGAGAAGCAAGAGCAAACACATTCAAAAGCTAGCAGAAGGCAAGAAATAACTAAGATCAGAGCAGAACTGAAGGAGATAGAGACACAAAAAACCCTTCAAAAAATCAGCGAATCCAGGAGCTGGTTTTTTGAAAAGATCAACAAAATGGATAGACCGCTAGCAAGACTAATAAAGAAGAAAAGAGAGAAGAATAGACGCAATAAAAAATGATAAAGGGGATATCACCACCGATCCCACAGAAATACAAACTACCATCACAGAATACTATAAATACCTCTACACAAATAAACTAGAAAAATCTAGAAGAAATAGATAAATTCCTGGACACATACACCCTCCCAAGACTAAACCAGGAAGAAGTTGAATCTCTGAATAGACCAATAACAGGCTCTGAAATTGAGGCAATAATTAAGACCCTACCAACCAAAAAAAGTCCAGGACCAGACAGATTCACAGCCGAATTCTACCAGAGGTATAAAGAGGAGCTGCTACCATTCCTTCTGAAACTATTCCAATCAATAGAAAAAGAGGGAATCCTCTCTAACTCATTTTATGAGGCTAGCATCATCCTGATACCAAAGCCTGGCAGACACACAACAAAAAAAGAGAATTTTAGACCAATATCCCTGATGAACATCGATGCCAAAATCCTCAATAAAATATTGGCAAACCTAATCCAGCAGCACATCAAAAAGCTTATCCACTATGATCAAGTGGGCTTCATCCCTAGGATGCAAGGCTGGTTCAACATACGCAAATCAATAAACATAAACCATCATATAAACAGAACCAAAGACAAAAACCATATGATCATCTCAACAGATGCAGAAAAGGCCTTTGACAAAATTCAACAGCCCTTCATGCTAAAAACTCTCAATAAACTAGGTGTTGGTGGGACGTAACTCAAAATAATAAGAGCTATTTATGACCAACCCACAGCCAATATCATACTGAATGGGCAAAAACTGGAAGCATTCCCTCTGAAAACCGGCACAAGGCAAGGGTGTCTCACCACTCCTATTGAACATACTATTGGAAGTGCTGGCCAGGGCAATCAGGCAAGAGAAAGAAATAAAGCGTATTCAAATAAGAAGAGAGGAAATCAAATTGTCCCTGCTTGCAGATGACATGATTGTATATTTAGTAAACCCCATTGTCTTAGCCCAAAATCTCCTTAAGCAGATAAGCAACTTCAGCAAAGTCTCAGGATACAAAATCAATGTCCAAAAATCACAAGCATTCCTATACACCATTAACAGATGAACAGAGAGCCAAATCATGAGTGAACTCCCATTCACAACTGCTTCAAAGAGAATAAATTACCTAGGAATCCAACTTACAAGGGATGTGGATGTGAAGGACCTCTTCAAGAAGAATTACAAACTACTGCTGAATGAAATAAAAGAGGACACAAACAAATGGAAGAACATTCCATGCTCATGGATAGGAAGAATCAATAAATATTGTGAAAATGGCCATACTGCCCAAGGTAATTTATAGATTCAATGCCATCCCCATCAAGCTATCAATGGTTTTCTTCACAGAATTGGAAAAAACTACTTTAAAGTTCATATGGAACCAAAAAAGGGCCTGCATTGCCAAGTCAATCCTAAGCCAAAAGAACAAAGCTGGAGGCATCACGCTACCTGACTTCAAACTATACTACAAAGATACAGTAACCAAAACAGCATGGTACTGGTACCAAAACAGAGATATAGACCAACGGAAGAGAACAGAGCCCTCAGAAATAATACCAGACATCTACAACCATCTGATCTTTGACAAACCTGACAAAAACAAGAAATGGGGAAAGGATTCCCTATTTAATAAATGGTGTTGGGAAAACTGGCTAGCCATATGTAGAAAGCTGGAACTGGATCCCTTCCTTACAGCTTATACAAAAATTAATTCAAGATGGATTAAAGACTTAAATGTCAGACCTAAAACCATAAAATCCCTAGAAGAAAACCTAGGCAATACCATTCAGGACATAGGCATGGGCAAGGACTTCATGTCTAAAACACCAAAAGCAATGGCAACAAAAGACAAAATTGACAAATAGGATCTAATTAAACTAAAGAGCTTCTGCACAGCGAAAGAAACTACCATCAAAGTGAACAGGCAACCTACAGAATGGGAGAAAATTTTTGCAATCTACTCATCTGACAAAGGGCTAATATCCAGAATCTACAAAGAACTTAAACAAATTTACAAGAAAAAATCAAACAACCCCATCAAAAAGTGGGCAAAGGATATGAACAGACACTTCTCAAAAGAAGACATTTATGCAGCCAACAGACACATGAAAAAATGCTCATCATCACTGGCCATCAGAGAAATGCAAATCAAAACCACAATGAGATACCATCTCACACCAGTTAGAATGGCAATCATTAAAAAGTCAGGAAACAACAGGTGCTGGAGAGGATGTGGAGAAATAGGAACACTTTTACACTGTTGGTGGGACTGTAAACTAGTTCAACCATTGTGGAAGTCAGTGTGGCGATTCCTCAGGGATCTAGAACTAGAAATACCATTTGACCCAGCCATCCCATTACTGGGTATATACCCAAAGGACTATAAATCATGCTGCTATAAAGACACATGCACACGTATGTTTATTGTGGCACTATTCACAATAGCAAAGACTTGGAACCAACAAAATGTCCATCGATGTTAGACTGGATTAAGAAAATGTGACACATACACACCATGAAATACTATGCAGCCATAAAAAATGATGAGTTCATGTCCTTTGTAGGGACGTGGATGAAGCTGGAAACCATCATTCTGAGCAAACTATCACAAGTACAGAAAACCAACACCACATGTTCTCACTCATAGGTGGGAATTGAACAATGAGAACACTTGGACACAGGGTGGGGAACACCACACACCGGGGCCTGTTGTGGGGTAGGGGGAGGGGGGAGGGATAGCATTAGGAGATATACCTAATGTAAATGACTAGTTAATGGGTGCAGCACACCAACATGGCACATGTATACATATGTAACAAACCTGCACGTTGTGCACATGTACCCTAGAACTTGAAGTATAATTTTAAAAATTAAAATAAAAAAAGAATACTAGTCTCCAATTCCATCCAGGTTGCCGAGAATGCCATTAATTCATTCCTTTTTATGTTAAGCCACTAAATTTGTAATTTGTTATGGCAGCAATAGAAAACTAATACATATAAATCCATACCTACTGCATGTATGTATATAATTGGTGTCAAAAAATACACTTATGTAAGAATATACTATATGTGATAAACTGTTATTTTTATATTCTCCTATACGATTTTATTTCATTTTTCTTTTATTTATTTATTTGTTTGTTTGTTTGTTTTGAGATGGAGTCTCGCTCTGTCACCCAGGCTGGAGTGCAGTGGCGTGATCTCGGCTCACTGCAACCTCTGCCTCTCGGGTTCAAACAATTCTCCTGCCTCAGCCTGCCAAGTAGCTGAGATTACAGGCACTGCCGCCACGCCTGCCTGATTTTTTGTATTTTAGTAGAGACGGGGTTTCACCATGTTGCCCAGGCTGGTCACGAGCTCCTGAGCTCAGGCAATCCTCCCGCCTCAGCCTCCCAAAGTGCTGGAATTACAGGGGTGAGTCACCATGCCCAGCCTTTATTTCATTTTTAATGCTGGTCAAACTGTACTAAATTAACTTTATAAACCGTTAATTGGTTTATAAATTGTTTTGATTAAAAATTTTTTTAGCCTAGATATTTTGTACATTTTGGAGGGTAGAAAGTGGTGGACTAAACATTGGGCCTCCGTGGTAGGACAGGGAGATGGGCCAGAAATAATCCTAATTAAAACCAAGAATTGGGAAATATATATATATATATATAGAAAAGAAAGGAAGAGCAAAACCTCTTCTGAGAGGAAAAAATAACAAGAGAGAAAAGTACAGTTGTTTAATAGGTGTATTGAACAAGTTTTGGAAGGTAAAATGAAGCAGAGGCCATCTTCCTTCTGCTGTTATTGCTTGCAAGCCAGCCCATAGAAGTGTGAGCACTTAAAGACAGATGTGGCAGCCAGACTCAGGGTTGCAATATACAGCAACAGCAGCTTCTGTCCCTTGCATTTCAGCTATGGTACTGTGCTCTTGAATTCACTATTCCACTGGCAGGCTTAACTTTTGTTTCCCTAGTTATTCCAGTGATTTTATGAGCACAAGTACCTGTACTGATTCTCTGCTTGAATAATACTTGCTCCTGCCCTGAATCTGGACCCATCAATAGGAATCCTTTCATGCAGCTGGTATTATATGGAAATTGGCTAAACACTCTGGAAAATAATTTCGCATTACCTGGTGAAGTGGAACATGTGCATACCATAAAACTCAGGAATCCTACTCCAAAAAATATATCCTAGAGAAAATTTTATATAAATATATTCAGGAAGCATGTATAAAAATGTATATAAAAACACTGTTCATAATGACAAGAAATGGATACAACCCAAAAGAGAGAGTTCCCTATTAAAAAATCGGTAAGGAACCATAAAGTTCAAGAAGTTACAGAAACTAAAAGATAAAAAGCAATTCCACAAGCTTTGTGATAGAAAAGCAAGGACACCTTCCAGGCAGAGGAGGTGGTAGCTGGAGAGCAGAATTAATTAATTAGCAATTAATTATGCTAACTGAAGAACTGTCCACTAAGTGTTGTGGAGAAAAAGAATTTATCCAAAATGTGGTATTCCTAGGTCATTCATATATCAAGGGGAAAAAAAGCCAATTGAAAAATAAAACGAAATTTAAAACTCACAATTGGAAGAGGCATAATGTAAAAAGACTGTTGATGACCACTCAGTTGAGTCTAAATCACCATGCTAACAAGAGTTATAGAACAAAATGTAATTGCTATAGTTCTTTAAAAAACCGCTACATAATGTAAAAATAAGAACAGTTTGAGGATAATGGACTAGATCAAAAATTTTTTTAAATGCCAACACAATGAAGGGAAAAGGCAGGGGTAATAATATAAAGTACCTATTTATGGCTCACGCCTGTAATCCCAGCACTTTGGGAGGCCGAGGCGGGTGGATCATGAGGTCAGGAGATCGAGACCATCCTGGCTAACAAGGTGAAACCCCGTCTCTACTAAAAATACAAAAAATTAGCCGGGCGCAGTGGCGGGCGCCTGTAGTCCCAGCTACTGGGGAGGCTGAGGCAGGAGAATGGCGTGAACCCGGGAGGCGGAGCTTGCAGTGAGCCAAGATTGCGCCACTGCAGTCCGCAGTCCGGCCTGGGCGACAGAGCGAGACTCCGTCTCAAAAAAAAAAAAAAAAAAAAAAAAATACAAAAACTAGCTGGGTGTGGTGGTGCGTGCTTGTAGTCCCAGCTACTCGGGAGGCTGAGGCTGGAGAATCACTGGAACCCAGGAGGCAGAGGTTGCAGTGAGCCGAGATTGCGCCACCGCACTCCAGCCTGGGTGACAGAGGGAGACTCCATCTCAAAAAGAAAAAACAAAAAGTATCTATTTATTATTTGTCTTGAGGGCTGACAGAAAATATAACTTTACTTCAAAAGTTGGCAGATGAGGAAACACAGACTTATAAAGACTTATAAATTTATTTGAAAGATACATAGAAAATTTCGAGGAGAATAAAAAGCATATGCTTTTATCTTCTAACTGGGAAAGGAAGAGAAGGGAAGAGGGTAAAAACGTGAAGAAATCAGAGACTACATATCAAAAGAGAAGGAATAGTAAAACTGGAAATATAAGTAAAGATAGCACATGCAAAGCCAAACACACATAATATAACAATAAATGCAAGTAGGATAAACTTGCCTATAAAAAGTGAAATCGCTGAAACTATATGTTATATATGGAGATTTATCTAAGACAAGGGAAATCAAACAAATTAAAACAATGTAAAAACCTGGCGGGTCAAAAACAATTAAGATTAAAAAAAGAAACACGGTATTATAAAATTAATATCAATATTCAAAGAAAAAAATTAAATGGGACAAGGAGTATATAATCCACAATGAAAATAACTTATGAATATTTACTTTAAAAATCACATGGTGTTGAAATACACAAAGTGGAAACTTCTAAAAGGTAAAGATAAAATTAACTAAAATATAATAGTGGTTTTAAAATATGTGTTCCTAAATCTTAAATAAGTTTGGTAGGAAAAAGGGAATATGAAAAAATCTGCATAATAGAAAGTAAGGTAAAGTAACAGATGTCTTTGGACTCAGCTTGTTGGCAAAAGGAAAACGACGAGCTATTCCAATGCTGGTCAAGGTAGTAAAGAGTCACTTTGAATCAGTATTGGCTCACCATAGCCAACAATACCACCGAAAGAATTAGAGCCTTGCCTTACATCTAACAAAATTCCAGAACATTTCAAAGAGATTCATGATCTAAATATTTTTTAAAACTTATTTTGTAAAAGAATTTCGAATTTTTTAATCCCAGGGTACAAAAAGTCTTCTAAAGGTAGAGATAAATACAAATGGTCCTTGATATACAAATGATTTGTCTTAAATTTTTTTGACTTTACCATGGTGTGAAAGTGACATACATTTAGGATGCCCCTGTACTTATAATGGAGTATCACAACATAGACCCATCGTTAAGTCTAGGAGCATCTATACATAAAGTAAAAAACTGACAGTAAAGTAAAAGACTGTTCACCAGTTCAGCAAAACATTAAAATATTTTATAATATTCTGTTTTAAGGAAGGAATGAGAGAAGGGACGGTTTAATACATTGTTGATAGGAATATAAAGTGATACATTTTGGAAAGTCAGCTTGATGATTTATATTTTAAAATCTTAAAATTTTAGTTTCCTTTGTTTTCATTAGGGTTGCAATTAACACACACTATCTTTGACTAACTTATGTGAAAAATAAATTCGTTGGAAGGATTTTGGATAGTTCACAGACTCAAAGGGAAAGTTGGAAAACCAAGTCCAGGAAAAAAAATGGAACTGGACAAATCATCAGACCATCCTCATGGAATAAAAGAATGAATAAACAAACGAGCCCCCAATATTTTTAATTTCTTATATTATTGCCCTCAAGAACTACTACCAAGAGAAAATAGATAATCTGATTGGCCTAGCTTGACTGGTGAGAGCAGGACAATTTATGTTATAATTCTACCAATTCTACACACAAAGGGGATGATGGCACCCCCGAAGAATTAGAGTGCTTAGTTTTGTTGCCAAACAAGAGAGTGAGTAGATGCTGAATGGTCAAAAAAGACAAATACCCATTACAGCAGTTTACTCAGCAACTCTATGTGTAGTACCTTATCCCAAGAAAATAACTGGACAAAGATACAAATATAACCAGGTGCCGTGGTGTGTGCCAGTAGTCCCAGAGTTACCCAGACAAGGGGAGGGTTCAGCGGGTGACAGTCAGATGACCACAACCAAGGAAGATTTAATTAACAAGGAGATTTTACCATTTGCAACAAGTAAGAAGGACACCAGGGATAATTCCCCAAAGCAATTCCTCCCTGAACAGAGGTGAAAACAGGATTTTTAATAGGCTGGTTAGCTGAGTCATTGTATGTAGCACTGGCACAGTCTCATGAATAGAACGTAGCAAATGAGCTCCTTCCTGGGCGGGGTTTTTAGTACAGTGATGAGGAGCATTTGCAAAAGTTCATCTTAGACTCGGGCCACTCTGGATACAGCTGGAGTTTTTTTTGTTTGTTTGTTTGTTTGTTTTTAACAGAGCCTGAACTTCTTCTTGGAGCTATTTAAAACAACAAGAACTCCCGGTGCAACAGTTACAAGGAAGTAGTTTTTCACAGCGGTACCTGAAAAACCAGGGACTCTGGGTTACATCAGCTACTGGGGAGGCTAAGGCAGGAGGATGTTTGGGCCTAGGAGTTCGAGGCCAGCCTGGGCAACATAGCAAGACCCTGTCTCAAAAAAAAAGGCAAATATTTGCAAATAAGGCATTTATCACAGTGGTTTTTTTTACGGTGAAAACTAAAAATTGTTTAACAATGTAGGATTGGCTCAACAAGTTACATTACAGGCATCTGAAGAAATGATATGCCACCACTTAAAATAATGATTCAAGTCAACATTCACAGACATGGACTGATGTCCTTAATATACAGTGAATAGAGAAAAGCCCTGGGAGGGGAAAGCAGGGAAGGAAAGGCTTTGAGGGACTGAAAGGCGGGAGGAAGGACTAGATAAGAAGGTCAGCCCTTGGCTTAAGAGGAAAGTGGTTGCTGGGAGCATGGCTGAATAAAAGTGGGCTGGGAAAGGTGAACGAGTTTATTCTGAGCTCTGGGTCACAAGCCGCTGGAAACAGGCCAGGGAAAGTGAAAGGTGGAAGAGTGGCAATTTAGTACCGTGGCACAGACAGACCCTGGATGTGCCCAACTTCACAACATTCAAATAAATGTCTTTATTTTTTAAATACGGAAGGAGGCATATCCAGAATTGAACAATGATTTTTCTCTAATTCGGACTGTAGAATTTTTTTGCTTGTCTGCATTATTAATATCTCTATGATGAACCTTAATAAGTTCTGTAGTTTACAAAAGAGAAAAATATCCTCTTAGTCTTCAAATACAACAAGAGGAATAAACAAAACAAAACAAATCCTAAGACTCAGATTGTTGTGTTAATAGGAGTCCCCAATCACAGTGAGGCGGGTATAGAGATTTTACAAGTTAGAATTTCATCCAGGCTTCACAGGAAAACTTGAATCACTGAGTGTGTTTAATCATTACCATCTATTAAGTTGCAGCACAAAACCAGTTTATTGAAGGTCAGGACGCCTGGCTTCAGAAGCAATACAATGACCATCTCATCATTCTTCTTTCTCAGCACTTAGTTGGTGTGTGAAGCATGCCACACATTTTTATGCCCATAGCAACAGGGAAAGAGTCATATGCTGGAAATAAATTGCATATTCCATCTGCCAATGAAGCAGAGACAACATATCCTTATTGGATCAACTGACATGTTTTTATTTTCTTGTTTTGTGCAGTTTGGCTTTGTTTTGTTTTAAATAAAATAATGAAGATGAAACTGCTTGAGATAACAGACCTGTAACATGACACATTTATCTTTCAAACTATTTCTATTCATAAATCTCCCAAGATGGACCAAACCATTTGTACAGGTACTAATGTTTGCTCAGAGTACTGGCCCTATAGGTTTCAATGTCTATCTCATGAGTGTGGCACAGGTGAGTGAACCAGGAAGTAGGGATAGAAAAATAAAACCGTATCTTCAGCAAGCACTGCAGAATTATTTCCAGCAAGTGCACTTCCTCCTCCCCGCTCAATGTTGCAAGCAGAAAATGGAATTACTCTTGTAGCAACAGCTTTCTTTTTATCAGTTATAGGTGAAGTGGCCAGAAGAGAATCATAGAATATTGAGGCTAGAGAAACTAGATACCATCTTACCTAGCTTCTTCATTTATGACCCAGGAAGCTGACATACAGAGAAGTCATGCCACCCCTCAGTGACACTGGAGCAGCAAGGACAAGACCTTCTACTTAGTTTCCAAGATAATTATTTGGTTGTAGTTGTGGGAATATCATTTACTGGATTTCCTTAAACCCAGGAAAATTCAGATTTAGAATTTGATTTCATTTCTACTGCAGCAGAACCAATTACCACCAACTTGGAAGCTGAAAACAATTCTCATTTCTTAGCTCACAATTCTGTAGTTTGGAAGTCCAAGCATGCCATGGAGGGTACTCAGCTCAGGTTTTCTCTAGGCTGCAATCAAGGTCTTGGTCAGCTGCACTTGCACCTGGAGCTCGGGGCTTCTTCCAAGCTCATGTGGTTGTGGCAGAGTTCAGTTCCTTGTGGTTTTAGGACTGAAGTCTGTTTCCTTGCTGGCTGTCACCTGGGAGATGCTCTGAACTCCTAGAGGCTGCCCTTACTCCTAGCCATGTGGTCCACAGCCAACAACGGAGCCAAATCTGTCTCGAATTCAATCTTCTCATGCTTCAAATTTCCCAGACTTCCAATCGCTCTCCAGGAAGAGCCCAGTCTCTTTTAAGGCTCACCTGATTAGCTAGGTCAGGTTTATCCAGAGTAATCGCCCTCTTTTAAGGCCACCTGTGCCATATTGTATTACCTAATCATGGGAGTGATAACCCATCATATTTACAGGTCCCTTCCACACTCGAAGGTTGGAGATCATCTTAGGATTTTGCCTACCACAGAAACCAGGCAATTCAGCAGCTTGCCACAGCACTGGCCCAGCTGTGAGCTCCATTGAGCTGAAACAAAAGACATATCAGGATTCAGCACATTTCTGAGGCTGTGCTATGAAGATTATGGGCATGGAGATTAATGAGCTACAGAAGTTCTTGCTCACTCACCAGATTTTAAACAAAACTTAGAGGCTTACAAAGCCTTATGTAAGGGAGAGATACCAAAACTAAATTTCATAAGATTATTGAAGGAAACAGGATCACTTTATAATTTCTAGTTTGAGATTATATATATCAACTATTCAAAATTATGTTCTTCCTATAAAAGAGCTGATTCTTCCCTTCATCATGAAAATAAAAGAAATGGCAAATGATGGCTTTGCATATTGCAAAGACAATGCTCCATCTATGAGGATCTTAAGCCTCTTTTTTGAACTCAGTAAAAAATGTATTTATTACACAGACCAAAATGTGTCGCCTGCTGCTGGTAGCTGTCCCATCTGTCCATTTCCACAGCTACAACTCTATTTCAGTTATTCTCTGTCTTTCTCCTGGACTCTGCATTGGCCCCTCACCAGGGATTTAGGGTCCCTTTTTTCATTTTTTACTCAACTTGCACTCAGTCACCAAATTTGATTCCTGTTACTCTGCTCCTCAGCCTTATCTGAGCCTGTAAAAATCCCACCTGTTTTTCCCAGTCCAGTAACCTCCAACCTCTTGGAAGTACCTAGCCTCTCCTCTATCTAAAATAACCCTTTGTTCCACTTTCACCTCACTACCTGTTCTTTGTACTGCGGATACACTAGGTAGCAAGTCCCTTGAAAGCAGGAATCTTGTCTTTCTCATTTGCAGAGCTTTCTACAGAATGAGTTCTCTACGATACATTTGTTGATTAAAGGGATACATTTTTCATTCTTCTGTTTTGATACTGACTTATTCTTGTTGAGAATGGGAAAAAAATAAGTTCTGAAATCCACTCATACAAAAGACTTTATTATTGTTGGCCAACTGAGAATTAACTTATCCATACAGTCAAGTGCTTAATCGTCTCTTTGGTAGTAAGTCAGCACTTAGGAAGATGAATTAATATTCTGGTTACTGAGGGGTCATGTAGAATTCTGCAGCAGTAAGTAAAGTACATATGAAATGGTGACACATTTAAGAGAGCACACAAAAGACAGAACAATAATTCATCCAATGACTTGAAAGAGTCCACAAACATGTCTAAACACCAAGTTTACAAGCAAGACTGTAATTGCATTGGTTTACATAGGCACTGAGGGAAATAATATACTGGGCACCCAGAGTAGTAGTAGTATAGTATTGCGATAATCTAAGCAGTAATTGATCATAGTCCTAAGCTCTGCAGGAAATGGCAACTATAGGTATAACTATCTACCAGAGATACATGACTGATATGTCATCTACCTTCCAAGAATCTCCACTGACCCATTCTTAACCCACTTAACCCACTGAAACAAATAATTTTTCATCCTGCCTTTAAAGGCCTTCCATGATTTGGGCCTACCTTACCTGTGTAACTATGTCTCCCTCACTTACCAAGACATGCTCTCAATTCTAGCCATCATTGTCTTCCTGCTATCTTCAAGAATCACCCTCCACATCTTTGCCAATGATCTCTTTTCTTCCTTAGAAAGACTCCTTACTCTCCTCCAAGCCTGTCGATTGCCCATCATCAGGATGTTCGCAAATCCCAGCTCCTTCAGGATCCTTTACTAACAATGCTTGAGAATATCTGGGTATTGCATTTCTGCTTGAAAAACATGTTGGCTGGTATAATATCCTTGAGTTACACCTTACTTCCCTCAGAATAGAGATTTCTCCAGTGCCTCTAAAATTTGCAATATTCAATTGAGAAATCTGATAATCAACTTTTTTTTCTCTTTGTAGATGATTTGATTGTTGTGCCTGGATGCTTAGAGTGTTCTTCATCCTTAAGGTACAACATTACAACTAGAATATGTTCATGTTGAGTGTTATGGATGAAATTTACTTGTAATTCATTAGTATTTTCAATCAGAATTTTTATTCTTTATCGTAGGGATATTTTCTCATATTTTTAATACTTATTTTACTTTCATGTGTTCTCTACTTAAAAGATGTCTGCCATTCTTATGTTGGATCTTTTCTGTCCTCAATACTTATTAGTTTCTCTAATTGTTTTAATCTTTTTGTCTTTTTATTAACTTTATCTGTGATTATTCATTTCTCCTTGTCATTATTTTCAGTATCAGCTATATTAATTCTGTTTCTTGACATTTCTGTACATTTATTAGTTCTGTTATTTTGAGATTTGATCCTCAAATTGTTTCCTTGGGTTTGGAAATTTTCTTTTAATCTCATTTTGTTGTATTAGCATCTTATTTTTGAGCTCTATATCAGATTCAAATTTTTATTAGGTTGTTCTATAGTGTAAAGCAAATGCTCCTTGCTTGATATTTTCTTTTAGAATGAATTGGCTATCTTTTGCATACTTGCTTATTTCCTTTTTTATTTTGCTGTCAAATGTTTGTATAGTTTCCATTCCATTTATTTAGATATTACTCACTTAGTTTGCTGATAATTTTCCTTCTTCTTACCATGCCCAGATCCATTTATACCCTCCTCTGACATGCTCTGTGACCAAGGAGGCTGACTTACATTGATTTCATTACCACAGCAGACTCCTGTGCCCTCTGGCTTTTTATTGGGTTCTGCCAACAGGAAGAATTGGCAGGAGGTTGGAAGATGGAAAGAGGGAAAAGTCTAGGCACTTATCCCCACTCCTTTCCTGCCTTGCCATGGTCTTACGATGACCACATCCCTCTACTGTTGCAGCTTCTGCCTGGTGGCCTCTCTTCCACGGCTCCATCACTGACATGACTCCACTAGCACAATTCTTTCTCCTCTTCTCTTTAGGAAATATCTTTCTGGCTCTGCTAGTCTCCAGTGCTTCTCCATCTCCTATTGGTTTCCTTAACATCATTCAAATTTTGGTAAGTAGTTTCTTCCTTAAATGCTTTTCAGTTAAAACCTTTGAGTTTGCCATCATTTTTGCTAGGACCCTAGCTGATACACTTAGACAGCTTTGGCCAGGCATTGTACGTGCTTTGGTATATTATGAATGGCTTTTTGAATCCTGTCTTAATTTGGGTAATCAGAAGCATATCCTACGGCAAATATTCCATAGCAAGTAATTTATTTGGGAAGTGTAAAAGTCCAGCAGGGAGTAGAGAAATGAGCTAGAAGGGAAGTCACTGAATAAAGGGTGTGTCTATAAGGCTAGCCACTACTGGAGGCAACTGGAGCTTAATTCCTCGGGTAGATTCTGAGAAATAACTCAAAATATGCTCCTCAAAGTTATCCAACCCAAGGAGCAAAGTTGCTCACGTGCTCATACATCAACTGCTATCAGTCATTTGGTCAAGGCCGGCTCTCAGAGGAGCGCTAACTCTCCCCTGCCCCGCCCCGACCCCACAGTCAGGAAGCCTCCTGTAAATTCAGAGGAGGCCTTAAGGAAAAGAGTTAAAGATACTGGCAAAAGGTAGACTGGTAGTGCTCTGAAGGATGTGGGCAAAATACCATAGCTAGAAAAGCTATGATTGTCTGCTATGATTTTTCCCCAAATATGAAACCAGTTTTTCTTTACTCTTAGGGATACAGTCTAAGAGCTGAGTATTTTAAGTCTATCCACTTGTCTGTAATTTGAAGGAATGGCAGTGATTAAATGGTAGGTAGGAAGGAGAAGAATATGACTTAGGCAATGTTCTTTATTTATTGCAATATCCTGGCTCCATTCTCTCTTCTGAGTTTTCATAAGGGCTTTTTACCAGGTTTCACTCCACTTACTTCCATGTGTGAAGGTTGACAGCAGGCAGTGGGATGGGGCTGGGAGGAATTAGAGGTGGGGAAGGAGGATTGCAGAGGTGGCTCCAGCATGTTCCCTGTTCAACATGTGACCTTAGAGCATTGATTTTTATCACCAAGAATCAGTTCCATAGTACACTTTACATATTGCATCTATTTCTTCCCAGATGTTTTCACTACTCACCAGTCAGAGGGAAAAAAACATAAAGATGCCCAGTGATCTTTTTTAGACCTAAACCATTGGTAATATTAAAGGATACTTATTAAAAGAGGGTACAATCAGGACTCACATAGATATAAAATAAATGCATGCCAAAGATTTTATTTAAATCATTAATTAATGAAGGAACCTATAAGGTGTTAAAACCTGTTCACCTGGATAATATCCTGCACAGTGTTTTCCAACTTGGTTCCATTCTCCCCGTCACTTTCAGGTACACCAATCAGATGTAGATTTGGTCTTTTCACATAGTCCCATATATCTTGGAGGCTTTGTTCGTTTCTTTTTATTCTTTTTTCTCTAAACTTCCCTTCTTGCGTCATTTCATTCATTTCATCTTCCATCACTGATACCCTTTCTTCCAGTTGATCGCATCGGCTCCTGAGGCTTCTGCATTCTTCACGTAGTTCTCGAGCCTTGGCTTTCAGCTCCATCAGCTCCTTTAAGCACTTCTCTGTCTTGGTTATTCTAGTTATACATTCGTCTAAATGTTTTTCAAAGTTTTTAACTTCTTTGCCTTTGGTTTGAATTTCCTCCTGCAGCTCGGAGTAGTTTGATCGTCTGAAGCCTCCTTCTCTCAACTCGTCAAAGTCATTCTCCGTCCAGCTTTGTTCCGTTGCTGGTGAGGAACTGCGCTCCTTTGGAGGAGGAGAGGCGCTCTGCTTTTTAGAGTTTCCAGTTTTTCTGCTCTGTTTTTTCCCCATCTTTGTGGTTTTATCTACTTTTGGTCTTTGATGATGGTGATGTACAGATGGGTTTTTGGTGTGGATGTCCTTTCTGTTTGTTAGTTTTCCTTCTAACGACAGGACCCTCAGCTGCAGGTCTGTTGGAGTTTGCTAGAGGTCCACTCCAGAACCTGTTTGCCTGGGTGTCAGCAGCAGTGGCTGTAGAACAGCGGATTTTCGTGAGCCACGAATGCTGCTGTCTGATCGTTCCTCTGGAAGTTTTGTCGCAGAGGAGTACCCAGCTGTGAGAGGTGTCAGTCTGCCCCTACTGGAGGGTGCTTCCCAGTTAGGCTGCTCGGGGGTCAGGGGTCAGGGACCCACTTGAGGAGGCAGTCTGCCCGTTCTCAGATCTCCAGCTGCGTGCTGGGAGAACCACTGCTGTCTGCAAAGCTGTCAGACAGGGACATTTAAGTCTGCAGAGGTTACTGCTGTCTTTTTGTTTGTCTGTGCCCTGCCCCCAGAGGTGGAGCCTACAGAGGCAGGCAGGCTCCTTGAGCTGTGGTAGGCTCCACCCAGTTCGAGCTTCCCGGCTGCTTTGTTTACCTAAGCAGGCCCGGGCAATGGCGGGCACCCTTCCCCAGCCTCGCTGCCGCCTTGCAGTTTGATCTCAGACTGCTGTGCTAGCAATCAGGGAGACTCCGTGGGCATAGGACCCTCCGAGCCAGGTGAGAGACATAATCTCGTGGTGCGCTGTTTTTTAAGCCCGTCAGAAGAGCGCAATATTAGGGTGGGAGTGACCTGATTTTCCAGGTGCGTTCTGTCACCCTTTTCTTTGACTAGGAAAGGGAACTCCCTGACCCCTTGCACTTCCCGAGTGAGGCAATGCCTCGCCCTGCTTCGTCTCACGCACGGTGCGCTGCACCCACTGTCCTGCACCCACTGTCTGGCACTCCCTAGTGAGATGAACCTGGTACCTCAGATGGAAATGCAGATATCACCCGTCTTCTGCGTCGCTCACGCTGGGAGCTGTAGACCAGAGCTGTTCCTATTCGGCCATCTTGGCTGCCCCAAACTAGCAAGGCAGGCCAACATTCAGATTCAGGAAATACAGAGAATGCCACAGATACTCCTCGAGAAGAGCAACTCCAAGACACATAATTGTCAGATTCACCAAAGTTGAAATGAAGGAAAAAATGTTAAGGGCAGCCAGAGAAAAAGGTCGGGTTACCCACAAAGGGAAGCCCATCAGACTAACAACGGACCTCTTGGCAGAAACTCTACAAGCCAGAAGAGAGTGGGGGCCAATTTTCAACATTCTTAAAGCAAAGAATTTTCAACCCAGAATTTCATATCCGGCCAAACTAAGCTTCATAAGTGAAGGAGAAATAAAATACTTTACAGACAAGCAAATGCTGAGAGATTTTGGCACCACCAGGCCTGCCCTAAGAGAGCTCCTGAAGGAAGCACTAAACATGGAAAGGAAAAACCGGTACCAGCCACTGCAAAAACATGCCAAATTATAAAGATCATCAAGGCTAGGAAGAAACTGCATCAACTAACGAGCAAAATAACCAGCTAACATCATAATGACAGGATCAAATTCACACATAACAATATTAACTTTAAATGTAAATGGACTAAATGCTCCAATTAAAATACACAGACTGGCAAATTGGATAAAGAGTCAAGACCCATCAGTGTGCTGTATTCAGGAAACCCATCTCACGTGCAGAGACACACATAGGCTCAAAATAAAAGGATGGAGGAAGATCTACCAAGCAAATGGAAAACAAAAAAAAGCAGGGGTTGCAATCCTAGTCTCTGATAAAACAGACTTTAAACCAACAAAGATCAAAAGAGACAAAGAAGGCCATTACATAATGGTAAAGGGATCAATTCAACAAGAAGAGCTAACTATCCTAAATATATATGCACCCAATACAGGAGCACCCAGATTCATAAAGCAAGTCCTGAGTGACCTACAAAGAGACTTAGACTCCCACACAATAATAATGGGAGACTTTAACACCCCACTGTCAACATTAGACAGATCAACAAGACAGAAAGTTAACAAGGATACCCAGCAATTGAACTCAGCTCTGCACCAAGTGGACCAAATAGAAATCTACAGAACTCTCCACCCCAAATCAACAGAATATACATTCTTCTCAGCATCACACAACACCTATTCCAAAGTTGACCACATTGTTGGAAGTAAAGCTCTCCTCAGCAAATGTAAAAGAACAGAAATTAGAACAAACTGTGTCTCAGACCACAGTGCAATCAAACTAGAACTCAGGATTAGGAAACTCACTCAAAAGTGCTCAAGTACATGGAAACTGAACAACCTGCTCCTGAATGAATACTGGGTACATAACAAAATGAAGGCAGAAATAAAGATGTTCTTTGAAATCAACGAGAACAAAGACACAACATACCAGAATCTCTGGGACACATTCAAAGGAGTGTGTAGAGGGAAATTTATAGCACTAAATGCCCACAAGAGAAAGCAGGAAAGATCCAAAATTGACACCCTAATATCACAGTTAAAAGCACTAGAAATGCAAGAGCAAACACATTCAAAAGCTAGCAGAAGGCAAGAAATAACTAAAATCAGAACAGAACTGAAGGAAATAGAGACACAAAAAAACCTTCAAAAAATTAATGAATCCAGGAGCTGGTTTTTTGAAAGGATCAACAAAAGTGATAGACCACTAGCAAGACTAATAAAGAAGAAAAGAGAGAAGAATCAAATAGATGCAATAAAAAATGATAAAGGGGATATCACCACTGATCCTACAGAAATACAAACTACCATCAGAGAATACTACAAACACCTCTACGCAAATAAACTAGAAAATCTAGAAGAAATGGATAAATTCCTGGACACATACACCCTCCCAAGACTAAACCAGGAAGAAGTTGAATCTCTGAATAGACCAATAACAGGCTCTGAAATTGGGGCAATAATCAATAGCTTACCAACCAAAAAGAGTCCAGGACCAGATGGATTCACAGCCGAATTCTACCAGAGGTACAAGGAGGAACTGGTATCATTCCTTCTGAAACTATTCCAATCAATAGAAAAAGAGGGAATCCTCCCTAACTCGTTTAATGAGGCCAGCATCATCCTGATACCAAAGCTGGGCAGAGACACAACCGAAAAAGAGAATTTTAGACCAATATCCTTGATGAACATTGATGCAAAAATCCTCAATAAAATACTAGCAAACCGAATCCAGCAGCATATCAAAAAGCTTATCCACCATGATCAAGAGGGCTTCATCCCTGGGATGCAAGGCAAGTTCAATATATGCAAATCAATAAATGTAATCCAGCATATAAACAGAACCAAAGACAAAACCACATGATTATCTCAATAGATGCAGAAAAGGCCTTTGACAAAATTCAACAACCCTTCATGCTAAAAACTCTCAATAAATTAGGTATTGATGGGACGTATCTCAAAATAATAAGAGCTATCTATGACAAACCCACAGCCAATATCATACTGAATGGGCAAAAACTGGAAGCAATCCCTTTGAAAACTGGCACAAGACAGGGATGCCCTCTCTCACCACTCCTATTCAACATAGTGTTGGAAGTTCTGGCAAGGGCAATTAGGCAGGAGAAAGAAATAAAGGGTATTCAATTAGGAAAAGAGGAAGTCAAGTTGTCCCTTTTTGCAGATGACATGATTGTATATCTAGAAAACCCCATTGTCTCAGCCCAAAATCTCCTTAAGCTGATAAGCAACTTCAGCAAAGTCTCAGGATACAAAATCAATGTATAAAAATCACAAGCATTCTTATACACCAATAACAAACAAACAGAGAGCCAAATCATGAGTGAACTCCCATTCACAACTGCTTCAAAGAGAATAAAATACCTAGGAATCCAACTTACAAGGGACGTGAAGGACCTCTTCAAGGAGAACTACAAACCACTGCTCAATGAAATAAAAGAGGACACAAACAAATGGAAGAACATTCCATGCTCATGGGTAGGAAGAATCAATATCGTGAAAATGGCCATACGCCCAAGGTAATTTATAGATTCAATGCCATCCCTATCAAGCTACCAATGACTTTCTTCACAGAATTGGAAAAAACTTTAAAGTTCATATGGAACCAAAAAAGAGCCCGCATCGCCAAGTCAATCCTAAGCCAAAAGAACAAAGCTGGAGGCATCACGCTACCTGACTTCAAACTATACTACAAGGCTACAGTAACCAAAACAGCATGGTACTGCTACCAATACAAAGATATATATCAACGGAACAGAACAGAGTCCTCAGAAATAACGCCACATATCTACAACTATCTGATCTTTGACAAACCTGAGAAAAACAAGCAATGGGGAAAGGGTTCCCTATTTAATAAATGGTGCTGGGAAAACTGGCTAGCCATATGTAGAAAGCTGAAACTGGATCCCTTCCTTACACCTTATACAAAAATCAATTCAAGATGGATTAAAGACTTAAACGTTAGACCTAAAACCATAAAAGCCCTAGAAGAAAACCTAGGCAATACCATTCAGGACATAGGCATGGGCAAGGACTTCATGTCTAAAACACCAAAAGCAATGGCAACAAAAGCCAAAATTGACAAATGGGATCTAATTAAACTAAAGAGCTTCTGCACAGCAAAAGAAACTACCATCAGAGTGAACAGGCAACCTACAGAATGGGAGAAAATTTTCACAACCTACTCATCTGACAAAGGGCTAGTATCCAGAATCTACAATGAAGTCAAACAAATTTACAAGAAAAAAACAAACAACCCCATCAACGAGTGGGTGAAGGATATGAACAGACACTTCTCAAAAGAAGACATTTATGCAGCCAAAAGACACATGAAAAAATGGCCATCAGAGAAATGCAAATCAAAACCACAATGAGATACCATCTCACACCAGTTAGAATGGCAATCATTAAAAAGTCAGGAAACAACAGGTGCTGGAGAGGATGTGGAGAAATAGGAACACTTTTACACTGTTGGTGGGACTGTAAACCAGTTCAACCATTGTGGAAGTCAGTGTGGTGATTCCTCAGGGATCTAGAATGAGAAATACCATTTGACCCAGCCATTCCATTACTGGGTATATACCCAAAGGACTATAAATCATGCTGCTATAAAGACACATGCACACGTATGTTTACTGCGGCACTATTCACAATAGCAAAGAATTGGAACCAACCCAAATGTCCAACAATGATAGACTGGATTAAGAAAATGTGGCACATATACACCATGGAATACTATGCAGCCATAAAAAATGATGAGTTCATGTCCTTTGTAGGGACATGGATGAAATTGGAAGTCATCATTCTCAGTAAACTATCGCAAGGACAAAAAACCAAACACCGCACGTTCTCACTCATTGGTGGGAATTGAACAGTGAGAACACATGGACACAGGAAGGGGAGCATCACACTCTGGGGACAGTTGTGGGGTGGGAGGAGGGGGGAGGGATAGCTTTAGGAGATATACCTAATGCTTAATGATGAGTTAATGGGTGCAGCACACCAGCATGGCACATGTATACATATGTAACTAACAGGCACACTGTGCACATGTACCCTAAAACTTAAAGTATAATAATAATAAAATAAAATAAAATAAATGCAAGAGGGAATATTACTACTGAATTTACAGAAACAAAAAGAATTATAAAAATGTACTATGACCTAAAGTACTATGAATTTGTGTGCCAACACATTGGATAACCTACCCACTCCATATTCTTAGCACAATAGATTATAATTTGTTTCCCCAAATATAAATAATGTCTTCTATGTTCTATATATATATATATATATATATATATATATATATATACCTGTTCAAATTAGAATTCAAAATATCACCTACATACAGGCAGATAAGAAATGCTAAAATGAATTTATACATAGATACAAAACCTAGTGAAACTGGTCAGAATCCACAAGGCAATAATCAATTGCATGGCACTGGACATTTCTGGAAAAATACTTTTACAGAAAAAAAGCATTTGCATTACTATCACTTCCCTACAAATTATAGACTTGTAATGTAATTCAAAAACAGTGAAAGGCAGAGATAACCTGGAAGACAGCACTAGACAGGACAGTAAGTAAAATCTTTAATGGTTTTTCTTTTTTTAAAATCTATTTCAAAGAACTTCACAATTTTTTCTGACAGTTCAGTATTGTCAGAGTTTAGCAGACTCACTTGTATGCTTTCTGGAGCATGGAGGTTAAGAACTTACGTTGCTCTGCTGTTCTGTCTGCATAAGAATACAAGAGCCTTTTGCTTCTTCCTCAGGTGCCAAGCTTGTTGATGGTGGTGGCTGTGGTTGATTGTATTACCTTATGCCTCTTTTTGTTTGGTTGTTGTGGATGATTTTCTTCCTGCTATTTGGTATTTATTTTTGCTAATTGTGTGAAGTATTAGAGATGGATGATTTTGTAACTTATTTTCAGTCTATTATCCTAACTAGAAGCTTCTCCTAAAAACACTAACCCACATTGACCTCCCCATTTACTTGCTTCTGAAACAAAAATTATATTACACATTTTGATAATAATATTATCTTGGAGAGTGGTATGACTGTGTGTCCTTTTAACCTGTACATTCAGGACAAAAGTCAAAGCCAAAGCCAAATTCTTTGAGTAATTCAAGGCCCCTGCTGCTTCCCCAGATTTAGCCCAGCTTCAAGGATCACTGAAACACTAAGGGGATGCTCCCAGGTCATTCTTCTACTCACTGCTTTCATTCAGCCATTTCTAAATCTGAGTACTCAGGATATTTTGACTCGTGCACTTTCCTCAAATCCTAATTCTGAGGATGTCACTGCTGTCTAACTGTAATTCTCCTCTGCAGGAAATTTAATACTATTTCCTTTTATTCCTGTAGCCAAACCATTCCTCATGTCATATTGAGAAATTTCTCTCAAAATCTAAAGTAAATAACCAAGGAAAAGATCTGTTCATGACATACAGTTAAACTGCACTTGACCCAACCAGTGGATTTTGTCTGGAATATAAATTCTCAAACTGGCTTTCCATAAGCCTAATAAAGCTGAGGTTATTTTTCTGTCTACCACAAAAAGTTCAAGTTTTATTTTCAAATTTCTCAATGTTTAACCAGTGTTAAGGAAAATTCTTATACCAACTCTGCCCGTTATACAATGATATCAAATGATTTCTCATTATTGGAGGGTGGAGCCAAGATGGTCAAATAGGAACAGCTCCAGTCTACAGCTCCCAGCATGAGCGATGCAGAAGACAGGTGATTTCTGCATTTCCAACTGAGGTACTGCATTCATCTCACTGGGGAGTGTCAGAAAGTGGGTGCAGGACAGTGGGTGCAGCGCACCGAGCATGAGCCGAAGCAGGGCGAGGCATCACCTCATCCGGAAAGTGCAAGGGTCAGGGAATTCCCTTTCCTAGTCAAGGAAAGCAGTGAGAGACGGCACCTGGAAAATCAGGTCACTCCCACCCTAATACTGCACTTTTCCAATGGTCTTAGCAAACGGCACACCAGGAGATTATATCCCACGCCTGGCTCAGAGGGTCCTACGCCCACGGAGCCTTGCTCACTGGTAGCACAGCAGTCTGAGATCAAACTGCAAGGTGGCAGCAAGGCTGGGGGATGGGCGCCCACCATTGCCGAGGCTTGAGTAGGTAAACAAAGCCGCTGGGAAGCTCGTACTGGGTGGAGTCCACCTCAGCTTAAGGAGGCCTGCCTGCCTCTGTAGACTCCACCTCTGGGGGCAGGGCATAGCCAAACAAAAGGCAGCAGAATCCTCTGCAGATTTAAACATCACTGTCTGACAGCATTGAAGAGAGTAGTGATTCCCTAGCACACAGCTGGAGATCTGAGAATGGACAGACTGCCTCCTCAAGTGGGTTCCTGACCCCCAAGTAGCCTAACTGGGAGACAACCTGCAGTAGGGGCAGACTGACACCTCACACGGCCGGGAACTCCTCTGAGACAAAACTTCCAGAGGAACGATCAGGCAGCATCATTTGCTGTTCCCCAATATCCGCTGTTCTGCAGCCTCCGCTGGTGATACCCAGGCAAACAGGGACTGGAGTGGACCTCTAGCAAATTCCAACAGACACGCAGCTGAGGGTCCTGACTGTTACAAGGAAAACTAACAAACAGAAAGGACATCCACACCAAAACCCCATCTGTATGTCGTCATCATCAAAGACCAAAGGTAGATAAAACCACAAAGATAGGGAAAAAACAGAGCAGAAAAACTGGAAACTCTAAAAATCAGAGCGCCTCTCCTCCTCCAAAGGAATGCAGCTCCTCACCAGCAACAGAATAAAGCTGGATGGAGAATGACTTCGATGAGTTGAGAGAAGCCTTCAGATGATCAAACTACTCTGAGCTAAAGGAGGAAGTTCGAACCCATGGAAAAGAAGTTAAAAACCTTGAAAAAAAATTACACATATGGCTAAATACAGTAACAAATGCAGAGAAGTCCTTAAAGGACCTGATGGAGCTGAAAACCACAGCATGAGAACTAAGTGACAAATGCACAAGCCTCAGTACCCGATTCGATCAACTGGAATAAAGGGTATCAGTGATGGAAGATGAAATGAATGAAATGAAGCCAGAAGAGAAGTTTAGAGAAAAAAGAATAAAAAGAAATGAACAAAGCCTCCAAGAAATATGGAACTATGTGAAAAGACCAAATCTACGTCTGATTGGTGTACCTGAAAGTGATGGGGAGAATGCAACCAAGTTGGAAAACACTCTGCAGGATATTATCCAGGAGAGCTTCCCCAATCTACAAGGCAGGCCAACATTCAAATTCAGGAAATACAGAGAAGGCCACAGATACTCCTTGAGAAGAGCAACTCCAAGACACATAATTGTCAGATTCACCAAAGTTGAAATGAAGGAAAAAATGTTAAGGGCAGCCAGAGAGAAAGGGAAGCCGATCAGACTAACAGCTGATCTCTCGGAAGAAACTCTACAAGCCAGAAGAGAGTGGGGGCCAATATTCAACATTCTTAAAGAAAAGAATTTTCAACCCAGAATTTCATATCCAGCCAAACTAACTTCATAAGTGAAGGAGAAATAAAATACCTTACAGACAAGCAAATGCTGAGAGATTTTGTCATCGCCAGGCCTGCCGTAAAAGAGCTAAAGGAAGCACTAAACATGGAAAGGAACAACCGGTACCAGCCACTCCAAAATCATGCCAAAAAGTAAAGACCATCGAGGCTAGGAAGAAACTGCATCAACTAACGAGCAAAATAACCAGCTAACATCATAATGACAGGATCAAATTCACACATAACAATATTAACCTTAAATGTAAATGGGCTAAATGCTCCAATTAAAAGACACAGACTGGCAAATTGGATAAAGAGTCAAGACCCATCAGTGTGCTGTATTCAGGAGACCCATCTCACATGCGGAGACACACATAGGCTCAAAATAAAAGGATGGAGGAAGATCTAACAAGCAAATGGAAAACAAAAAAAGGCAGGGGTTGCAATCCTAGTCTCTGATAAAACAGACTTTAAACCAACAAAGATCAGAAGAGACAAAGAAGGCCATTACATAATGGTAAAGGGATCAATTCAACAAGAAGAGCTAACTATCCTAAATATATATGCACCCAATACAGGAGGACCCAGATTCATAAAGCAAGTCCTGAGTGACCTACAAAGAGACTTAGACTCCCACACAATAATAATGGGAGACTTTAACACTCCACTGTCAACATTAGACAGATCAACAAGACAGAAAATTAACAAGGATATCCAGGAATTGAACTCAGCTCTGCACCAAGTGGACCTAATAGAAATCTACAGAACTTTCCACCCCAAATCAACAGAATATACATTCTTTTCAGCACCACACCACACCTAGTCCAAAACTGACCACCTAGTTGGAAGTAAAGCTCTCCTCAGCAAATGTAAAAGAACAGAAATTATAACAAACTGTGTCTCAGACCACAGTGCAATCAAACTAGAACTCAGGATTAAGAAACTCACTCAAAATTGCTCAAGTACATGGAAACTGAACAACCTGCTCCTGAATGAATACTGGGTACATAATGAAATTAAGGCAGAAATAAAGATGTTCTTTGAAACCAATGAGAACAAAGACACAACATGCCAGAATCTCTGGGAGACATTCAAAGCAGTGTGTAGAGGGAAATTTATAGCACTAAATGCCCACAAGAGAAAGCAGGAAAGATCCAAAACTGACACCCTAACATCACAATTAAAAGAACTAGAAAAGCAAGAGCAAACACATTCAAAAGCTAGCAGAAGGCAAGAAATAACTAAGATCAGAGCAGAACTGAAGGAAATAGAGACACAAAAAAAACTTTCAAAAAATCAATGAATCCAGGAGCTGGTTTTTTGAAAAGATCAACAAAATTGATAGACCGCTAGCAAGACTAATAAAGAAGAGAAGAGAGAAGAATCAAATAGACGCAATAAAAAATGATAAAGGGGATATCACCACTGATCCCACAGAAATACAAACTACCATCAGAGAATACTATAAACACCTCTATGCAAATAAACTAGAAAATCTAGAAGAAATGGATAAATTCCTGGACACATACACCCTCCCAAGACTAAACCAGGAAGAAGTTGAATCTCTGAATAGACCAATAACAGGCTCTGAAATTGAGGCAATAATTAAGAGCTTACCAACCAAAAAAAGTCCAGGACCAGATGGATTCACAGCCGAATTCTACCAGAGGTACAAGGAGGAGCTGGTATCATTCCTTCTGAAACTACTCCAATCAATAGAAAAAGAGGGAATCCTCCCTAACTCATTTTATGAGGTCAGCATCATCCTGATACCAAAGCCTGGCAGAGACACAACAAAAAAAAGAGAATTTTAGACCAATATCCCTGATGAACATCGATGCCAAAATCCTCAATAAAATACTGGCAAACCGAATCCAGCAGCACATCAAAAAGCTTATCCACCATGATCAAGTGGACTTCATCCCTGGGATGCAAGGATGGTTCCACATACGAAAATCAATAAACGTAATCCAGCATATAAACAGAACCAAAGACAGAAACCACGTGATTATCTCAATAGATGCAGAAAAGGCCTTTGACAAAATTCAACAACCCTTCATGCTAAAAACTCTCAATAAATTAGGTATTGATGGGACATATCTCAAAATAATAAGAGCTATTTATGACAAACCCACAGCCAATATCATACTGAATGGGCAAAAACTGGAAGCATTCCCTTTGAAAACTGGCACAAGACAGGGATGCCCTCTCTCACCACTCCTATTCAACATAGTGTTGGAAGTTCTGGCAAGGGCAATTAGGCAGGAGAAAGAAATAAAGGGTATTCAATTAGGAAAAGAGGAAGTCAAATTGTCTCTGTTTGCAGATGACATGATTGTATATCTAGAAAACCCCATTGTCTCAGCCCAAAATCCCCTTAAGCTGAAAAGCAAATTCAGCAAAGTTGCAGGATACAAAATCAATGTGCAAAAATCACAAGCAATCTTATACACCAATAACAGACAAACAGAGAGCCAAATCATGAGTGAACTCCCATTCACAATTGCTTCAAAGAGAATAAAATACCTAGGAATCCAACTTACAAGGGACGTGAAGGACCTCTTCAAGGAGAACTACAAACCACTGCTCAACAAAATAAAAGAGGATACAAACAAATGGAAGAACATTCCATGGTCATGGGTAGGAAGAATTAATATTGTGAAAATGGCCATACTGCCCAAGGTAATTTATAGATTCAATGCCATCCCTATCAAGCTACCAATGACTTTCTTCACAGAATTGGAAAAAACTACTTTAAAGTTCCTATGGAACCAAAAAAGGGCCTGCATTGCCAAGTCAATCCTAAGCCAAAACAACAAAGCTGGAGGCATCACACTACCTGACTTCAAACTATAATACAAGGCTACAGTAACCAAAACAGCATGGTACTGGTACCAAAACAGAGATATACACCAATGGAACAGAACAGAGCACTCAGAGATAATACCACACATCTACAACCATCTGATCTTTTTGACAAATGTGACAAAAACAAGAAATGAGGAAAGGATTCCCTATTTAATAAATGGTGCTGGGAAAACTGGCTAGCCATATGTAGAAAGCTGAAACTGCATCCCTTCCTTACACCTTATACAAAAATTAATTCAAGATGGATTAAAGACTTAAATGTTGGATCTAAAACCATAAAAACCCTAGAAGAAAACCTAGGCAATACCATTCAGGACATAGGCATGGGCAAGGACTTCATGTCTAAAACACCAAAAGCAATGGCAACAAAAGCCAAAATTGATAAATGGGATCTAATTCAACTAAAGAGCTTCTGCAGAGCAAAAAAAACTACCATCAGAGTGAACAGGCAACCTACAGAATGGGAGAAAATTTTCACAACCTACTCATCTGACAACGGGCTAATATCCAGAATATACAAAGAACACAAACAAATTTATAAGAAGAAAACAAACAACCCTATCAATGAGTGGGCGAAGGATATGAACAGACACTTCTCAAAAGAAGACATTTATGCAGCCAACAGACACATCAAAAAATGCTCATCATCACTGACCATCAAGGAAATGCAAATCAAAACCACAATGAGATACCATCTCATACCAGTTAGAATGGCAATCATTAAAAAGTCAGGAAACAACAGGTGCTGGAGAGGATGTGGAGAAATAGGAATGCTTTTACACTGTTGGTGGTACTGTAAACTAGTTCAACCATTGTGGAAGACAGTGTGGTGATTCCTCAAGGATCTAGAACTAGAAATACCATTTGACCCAGTGATCCCATTACTGGGTATATACCCAAAGGATTATAAATCATGCTACTATAAAGACACATGCACACGTATGTTTATTGCGGCACTATTCACAATAGCAAAGACTTGGAACCAACCCCAATGTCCAACAACAATAGACAGGATTAAGAAAATGTGGCACATATTCACCATGGAATACTATGCAGCCATAAAAAAGGATGAGTTCATGTCCTTTGTAGGGACATGGATGAAATTGGAAGTCATCATTCTCAGTAAACTATCGCAAGGACAAAAAACCAAACACCGCATGTTCTCACTCACAGGTGGGAATTGAACAATGAGAACACATGGACACAGGAAGGGGAACATCACACACCGGGGCCTGTTGTGAGGCGGGGTGAGTGGGGAGGGATAGCATTAGGAGATATACCTAATGTAAATGACAAGTTAATGGATGCAGCACACCAACATGGCACATGTATACATATGTAACAAACCTGCACGTTGTGTACATGCACCCTAGAACTTAAACTATAATAAAAATACATAAAAAAAGAGTAGTTGTACCAATATGCATGCTCACCAGCACTGAATGAGAGTTGCCACAGCTCTGCATCTTTGGCAGCAGTTAGTATTATCAGTCTTTCTAGCTTCTGCCAATTTAATTGGCTCATTTGGCAGTATTCAGTAGCACTTCTGTTCTTTCATTTTTTTTTTTTTTTTTTTGAGATGAAGTTTTGCTCTTGCAGGCTGGAGTGCAATGGTGCGGTCTGAGCTCATCACAACATCTGCCTCTCAGATTCAAGTGATTCTCCTGCCTCAGCCTCCCGAGTAGCTGGGATTACAGGCATGAGCCACCACGCCCAGCTAATTTTGTATATTTAGTAGAGATGGGGTTTCTCTGTGTTGGTCAGGCTGGTCTCAAACTCCCGACTTCAGGTGATCTGCCCACCTTGGCCTCCCAAAGTGCTGGGATTACAGGCGTGAGTCACCGCACCCAGCCCGCACTTCTGTTTTTTTTTTTCTTACCCATTTCCTCTATTGGATTGACTTCCTTTTCCTTATTTATTCATAAGGGTTCTTTATCTCTTCTGGACACTAACCCCTTGTTAGTTAACCAGGGTTCTGAAAATAGGTTTTCCCATTTAATGGCATATGCTGCCCCCCTCTTGATGGCACCTTTGATGTCTGTAAGTGAGATAATGCTGGTTGGTTGGTTGGTTGAGGGTTGGGTAAAAAGGGTTGACAGGGAATAGTAAAAAGCTTGGGGTGGGAAGAACTAGAACAAGAAGTCATAGTGGCAAATAGAGTCAGTGTCTGGTATGAGGTTAGAATAAGCTGGCCTGGGCAACATTTAAGTATAAGTGAAGATGACACCAAATTACACCCAGGTGTTTTCCTCTAGACACCTGATCTACATTATTTTCCTTTGAATGTAATGTTTACTTACATTTTTTAAGTTAGCTATATTAGGGGGATTTTTGTAAGGAAGAAAAGCATGCTTGCCTCCACCCTAGAGACCTTCCAGAAGGCACACTCACAAACTTATGGCAACATCCTCTACTTGCAGATTTATCTCTATAGAAGCAGGTGAATCCAAGGAAAGTGAAATCTTCACATCTAAGCATAAAGTGTGACTGTGGAAAATATAGTGGGGCTTAAGGTCTGGTTTTATTGTTTCATTTTTATTCTGTTTGTTTATGACAAATGAGCATTCGTTCATCTTATGTATTTTTTCCTTGTAGTCTTCCTCCCATCTCCTTTATAAGTTCCTATTATATTGCATCATCAGAGCTATACATTAATTCACAAACGTTTTGAGCACCAAACAAGTGCTGGGTTGTCCACTACCACTGGTAATAAAACAATAAATAAAACTGTTCACTCCCCTCAAGAAGCTCACCCCCTAATTACAGGAATGAGATATATCTCATATTCTGGGTGAAAACAAGGTGCTATGAAAGCAAATAATACGGATATCCAACTCAATCTAGTTCAATCTCATTGCCTCATTCTGAAAGTTAGTTCTCCAATAACATTTTTGAAAAAATTCATTCCTCCAAACCTCCCCCAAAACCCTGGCAAAGACTGATCTTTTTTATTGTCTCCACATTTTTGCCTTTTCCAGATTATCATGCAGTTGAAATTATACAGTAGGTAGGCTTTTCAGATTGACTTCTTTCATGTAGCAATATGCATTTAAGTTCTTCCATGACTTTGTGTGGCTTCATAGCTCATTTTTTTAAAATCAATGAATAGTATTTCATTGTCTGGATATACAATTTGTTTATCCATTCACCTTGTGAAAGACGTCTTGTTTGCTTCCATGTTTTGGCAATTATGAATAAAGTTTCTCTAAACATCTGTGTGCAGTTATTGGTGTGGAAATAAGTTTTTAACACATTTGGAGAAATTCCAAGGAGCACAATTGCTGGATTCTGTGGTAAAAGTATACTGTATTTATTTTTGTAAGAAACTGCAAATGGTCTTCCAAAGTGGCTATACCATTTTGCATTCCCACCAGCAATGAATTAGATCTCCCATTGCTCCACATCTTCACCAGCATTCAGTGTTGTCAGTATTTTGGATTTGAGCCATTCTAATAGGTATATAGTGGTATCTCATTGTTGATTTAAGCCCCAAAACATTTTTGTTTCTGAAGAAGTAATTGACTTCTCTAACTACAAGCTTTGTTAGACTCTTAATCAGAGTGTTTGAAGGAATTTTAAAACCCTCTCATAAGTTAATATGAAAAAGCAAAAGGCAAATGATAATAATCAAGATAAATATGTAAAATAAGAATAAACTCTGAGGAAAATATCTATGTATAATTTGGTGCCTTTTTCACCTATGTTTACTTAAATGCTGTCCAACTCAGCTTCATCTAAACTTATGTCAGAAAAAATCCCTGAGTTTAAAAGATTTAACTCCAATTTTGAAGGAATTTCCATGGTGAGTATAATACCATCAAACAATATTGCATGCTATAAAAAAACCTTTTGTGAAAGGAAGCATCAGTCGATGTGGCAAACTTCATTGTTGTCTTATTTTAAGAAATTGCCACGGCCATCCTATTCTTCAGCAACCACCACTGTGATCAGTCAGCAGCCATCAAACATTGAGGCAAGACCCTCCACCAGCTAAATGATTATGATTTGCTAAAGGCTCAGATGAATGTTAGCATTTTTTAGCAATAGCGTTTTTAAATTTCAAAAAACCCTAATATTAAGATTTATTATAAAAGCTATAGTAAATAATACCTAGTAGTTCTGGCATTAGAATAGACAAGTAAATAGTGCAGAATCTCAATGCTGTAACGTACCTACTGATATATAGAAACAGGCTGCCTTCACAGATCAGTGGGAAAATGATGGACTTTTCAACAATTGTGTTAGGACAATGGGTCATCCATATTTAAAATGTTATTTAGTAGTTCACATTTTATATACAACAACAAATTTCAATGGATTGAGGACTAAATTTAAAAATCAAAACTTTAAAACTTAAGAAAATTTGGAAGAACATCTTTATAACCCTAAGGTAGAAAAGCACAATCTAAAACAAAAGATCAGCAAATTCAACTAAATTAAACAATGCCTATTTATAGAGAGACACCATAAAATAAAAAAGAAGCCACTGGTTGTTACGTATAAACTGATAAAGAACTGGAGTCTAGAATAAATAAATAACTCCTACGAGTTAATAACTGCCCCTTACAATTATTGGGACAAGTTTTAGATGCACAAATTCTATGGTCTAGAATTTCCACTCTTAGGCATTTACCCTAGAAAAACTCATATACATCAATCAGTAGGAGGATAAATAACGAATTGTGGAATATTTATTCAATGGAATACTATGCAACAATTAAAATGGGTAAATCTCAAAAACATAATGTTGAGCAGAAATAAGTGAGCTTTGCAGAAAGTATATATCCTTAATTAAAAAAAATTTTTTTGAGATGGAGTCTCACTCTGTCACCCAGGCTGAAGGACAATGGCATGATCTTGGATCACTGGAACCTCCACATCCCAGGTTCAAGCAAATCTCCTTCCTCAGCCCCCTGAGTAGCTGGGATTACAGGTGCACATGGCCATGCCCAGCTAATTTTTGTATTTTTAGTAGAGGCAGGGTTTCACTATGTTGGCCAGGCTGGTCTCCAACTCCTGACCTCAGGTGATTTGCCCGCCTCAGCCTCCCAGAGTGCCAGGATTACAGGTGTGAGCCACCACACCCGACCAATAAATTTTTAATATGTAAAACAATACTATATACATTGACACCTACATATGTCATAGAACTCTGATGCTAGCAGCAATGGTAAACATGAAATTCAGGATAGTGCTTACCTCTGGACAGGGGCCTCAACAGTATGTGTACTATGTTATTTTCTGAGCTGAGTGATGTGTATATAGGAGTTTATTAGGCTCTTAATCCTTGTTTCTATGCCTGAAATAGTTCATATTTAATTGAATTAAAGGTTAAAAATCTATTTTTTACAAAAAAAGGAGAGCCTAAAATGGATACTGTGAGCAGGGCAGGCCATCTAAAAGACTCCTCTGCGAAGACCTGGACAAGACTCCACCCTCCTCCAGGTGCACACTCTACACCCAGTTACACTGACTCCATCAGATATGACCATGCTCCTGACTTCCATTGCAGGATCATTCCCTTGACCTAGAGCCTGGCTCCTCCTTCCTCATATTTGCCTTCAGGTAACACTACTCCTAGTATGCTATTCCTTCTGCCCCCTACTCAGCTATTCCCACCCCACAGCATCTCCTTGTCCTGCCAGGCTCCTGCCAAAAGAAACTCTAGCTATTCCCACTTTTCTCGGGTACATCTCAATTTCATAAAACTCAACTTCAAGAGCCATATTTTACAGACATTTCTGAAACTATTAATGACATGGCGTTAATAAAACATCCCTCCCAGCACGAGCATTTACTGAATGTTCACATTCCTGAGCTTCTGATGGTGTCTGCAGAGTTATTTATTTTCTTGAATAGTCCTTGTTCATGTACACAGCTTGCTTTCCCATTTGATATTCTGCTTAAATATCTATAACTCCATGTTTAATGATTAAGTGTAAAAATGCTCCAACTCTCTATTGCCACCATTGCAACTATTTTCCCATACTCTGCAAAATACTCAAAGCAGAACTAGCATTTGGTGAAATTATGCCGTAATATATCATCTTTAAGAGTGTTTTGCTGCACAACACTCCTGCATTACTACCAAAGGACGTTGTGAGTTTTGGATACGTTTGAATTCCCTGAAAATTGGCAAGGATATTTTACAGGGAAATTTTTGGTCCGAGTTACTCAAACTAAGTGATGTTGCCACACCCAATATGCACAGAGAAAGAAAAAGAGGTTAACCTAAGACAACAAAGAAAAATTTTACGTATTAAAAAAAAAGATTAGTGGGGACAAATATTCAAAATGAAGCTCGACAACAGAAAAGACCCTAATCAAAGTGTTGGGACCCTCAAATTTTGAGGTAACTAACAAGTCGAGTTCTGATGTATCACCAACCCTTCCCCTGTGACCACACATTCACCACCTTTTCTGTTCCTCTTCTCATTCCCAGTAACTCCCCATCTCACTGTGTCCCTGTGTCCTCATTCTGCCCCCGACTAAAATGAGTTACCATGGCTGTGCCTACCTGGCCTTACTCTTACTGAACATTTCTTAATACCCAGAATCTGTCCTTCCCTTCTAGGCCACCCTCTAAACTTACCTGCTCTGTGTACCTTCCACAAGGGCTTGTTGTATTAGTCTGTTCTCACACTGCTATAAAGACATACCTGAGACTGGGCAATTTAATGAGAAAAGAGGTTTAATCAGCTTACAGTTCTGCTGGCTGTACAGGCTTCCGCTTCTGGGGAGGCCTTGGGAAACTTACAATCACGGCAGAAGGGGAAACAGGCATGGTCTTCAAGTGGCCAGAGTAGGGGTGGGGATGTGCTATACACTTTTAAACAACCAGATCCCAGGAGAACTCTATCACAAGAACAGCAAGGAGGAAGTCTGCCCCCACGATTCAAACAGCTCCCACCAGGACCCTCCTCCAACACTGGGAATTACAATTTGACATGAGATTTGGGTGGGGACACAGAGCCAAACCGTATCACTCATTTGCTTTCACAATGGAAACTCATCCACTCTTAAGTAACCAATGGAAGATGAAAGCTTGCCATCTTACCTTTTATGGACATTTACATGAGCTCTAATCCAAATAAATGAATCTATGGTGGCAAAATTTTACATGCCATAAAAGGCAGCTAGGAGAGAGATTTTGGAGGCTAAAGGTGCTTTCTTTGGTGCTTCTGTTTCTCTAAGTCATACCTGCTGAGTAACTGATAACTCCATCTGCTCCTGAAGCCATGTAGAATGTCGGTCTTGCAGGAGTGGGTAGAGTCCTGTTTCTATGTTCATTTTTTGTGGTTACCAACCCAGGAAGACCTGGATTATGCTGTGCTCCCATGGGACACGATGGACCATCCCCAACTCTCTGCCTTTAACTCAGGTCTAACCTCCCAGGACAGCCAGCTCCCAGGATAGGCAGCTAAAAACACTCAGGCATCTTGGCTGCTGAGTGCTCACCTTAGGCCACACTGGATCTCCCTTCCACATGGGCCTCCACAGTCTACCAGCTCCGCGCATGGTTGGCTTCCTGTTTGAGACTTTAGCGCTTTGGTTTTGGTGTTCTTCTCTCCAGCTCAAATGTGATCTGGCCTCATACTTTATCCTTATACAATGTCTAGCTGCCCCCAGATATCCATCTCAGCTGAGTCAAACCTAACCTTGAGACAACCCTAGAACCAGACTATTTGGCTGGTGCTTCTCACTGGCCTCCTCGATTCCCCACCCTAATCCCTGAAGGTAGAGCACAGTTCTTCAGTTCTGTCTCTGTTATAGGAACGGACAAGGACAGACTTTGACATGAGTGCAGGAAGTGGTTATCTCCACAGTGATTATTTGTATGGTCTAATTTGAGATGCCATTTTACAGAAAAGTGGTTAGGAGCCCCAACCCTGGAGTTGGACCGCCAGGGTTCAATGTCCAAGTCTGTTACCTATTAGCTGTTTAACACTGGGAAACTTCCTTGTTTTGTGGGAATGACAATTGCACTTGCCTCAGAAAATAGTAGTTAAGATTAAATGAGACATACAAATACTGTGTCTAGCAAAGTAACTGACATCTAGTAGTGGTCGACATATTAGCTAATACTATTATTATTATGATCACCAAGTGTTCTAGGGCCTGTGCTTCCACTGTGAGAGATTCACTCCTTTATCAGCCCCTCCTCAGGCCCATGACACTAATTCACAGTGGACTTTGTCCTTGACAAGAGGACTGTAACTGCCAGGAAACTTGAGGATGGAAGTGGGTGGGAAAAGTTGAAGAAAGCAAAGAGGAACAGACAGAGAAGGCTGAGAATATTAAAGATGAACTTTGTCTAATCCACAGTGTGTCAGAGCTGATGCTCCTGACAGGTTGGGGCCTGAATCTGTTACTGAGAATGAAAGGGGAGATTGTATGTTGGGTAGATAACTATTATGGTACTTCTGTGTTAAACTACTCCAGGAACACGATTCACGAGAGATATGTGTAGTAGGAGTGCCAATACATAAAACACAAGGTGAAGGGTGCCTTCTGGAGTTGTGTGACAGGTTGGCCCTGAACTAGCAAATATTCACAACACTCCTTGACATCCATCCCACAATCACCCCTCTAGCTCCACACCATTGCCAAAACCCACTCCAAAGTGAAGAATGAATAATCTAAGCCAGTGGTTCTCAACTGAGAGTGATTTTAACACCAGGGGAACATTTGTTGGTCACAAGTTGAGGGGAGGTTACTACTATCATGCTAATGTCATCTCATGAATACAGCCCAGAAGTGTCGCTAAACACTGTCCTGACAATGCAAAGAATAACCCCCACAACAAAGAATTACCCAGCCTTAAATGTCAATAGGGCTGGGGTTGAGAAACTCTGCTCTAAGGCCATTCAATCATGGTGATCTTTCTCCTTGCCAGTGAATAGTTCAGGTGTTGCAGGGGTGGAAACTGAAGAAAAGGCAAAGTTTGTGCAAGGGTTGCAACGGTGGCAATCCATAACTCCATAGGTGAAGTGACCTTAAGATGATCAATTAGCCCCATTCACACTCCGGCCTTAAGGAATTCGCAGAAAACTGAAGTTCTACATCCATTTTGCCTAAGTCTTGAGGGGTAGAGAAGCCCCTTACTGACATTTAAGTTGCATTTCTATATTTTTAAGTATATGTTAGTTCTAGAAAAACATATCTATAGTCAGCTCCCTATCAATCAAAAAATAATGTGTCCTCTGTTACTAAAGCCTTGGTAGATATAAATGTGAGATATGCTTAGTTTTGTTCTCTACATCCTGACTTTCCTGGGACTTGAACCTAGTCAAGACTTCATCCCTCCATTTTTCCAGGCACTAAACAAAACCACAGACTTCTTGAAAATAGAGTCTTCATCTTCCTTACATTTTTATTCCCATATCCGAAACTAAGCCTGGTACATAAAAAGCACTTGAAAAGATTTGTTGAAGACTGAATGAGGGAACACATAAATGAATATATTCTGGAATTTCGATCCCAACTTATTTTGCTGTGTTTCTCCTAAGAGTAGGTATCATCTCCACTTGTATACATCTACTGGTATCTGATATCAAAGATGACTCCAATGTATCAATTTCCTATTTTTTCATAGGAAGTTTTCACCTATCTCCTTGCATTTCTACTTAGCATACTTGTTTGTCTCTTGCCCATCATTCTCTTCCCAAGCCTCATGAAATTCGTGAAAGCCCTGGCCAGTTTTCTGTCATCTTTATGTTGAAGCTCTGGTCAAGAAAAGCCTCTCATTCGCTACACCCACTGTTGGAGCTGCTCCACAATTTTCCCAGGCAGAAGAGCCTCTCCCCAAGTCTGGTCTAGCCCCAGGGCAAAGCCTTGCCTGAAGTGAGCCTGGGTGTTTTCCCACCTCTGTGAGTACTTGCTGCTCACCCACTTTCCATCCACAGTGGTCACAAATCCCCAGAATATTTATCTCTTTGGCTTTCTTCTTTGATGATTTTCTCCACCCTATTTAGAAACCCTTCATCCTCTTTAACCAGAGGAAGAGAGAAAGGTGTGCTTCTCTGCACATCTAATTATCTAATTTTTTTTTCATATCTTAGATTCTCTTGCATAGCTATGGAAGGAAGAAAGCCCTGTGTTCTCTCTAGTTTCTTCCTATTAATACCACCCTCTACCTCAAGTATTATTTGAATATCATTGTTTGAAACCAGACTTATTACTTAGCCTAAAATTGAGAGCACATATTTAGACTACTTAATCAGATTAGGTTAATAAATATGTATTTTTAAACTGTACTTGAACACTCTAAATACTGAGGAGTTTAAGCAAGCAAAAATATGTAAATAAATGTTAAATTTAGAGAAAGTTTAATACAATGCATGATGTTACAACTAAGCAGACAGAATAAGCCCAAATTAAAGAAGTAATGATGTAACGTACTTAGTGCATTGAAAGTGAATGGAATTTCTAAGTGTCACTGTCTTGGTAAAAACAGCAATTTATTCCTTATCCCCTCTCCCCAGTCTAAGGAGTGAGAGATTTGCTTGATAGAAGCAGAGGATACAGATGGTATAATAAAGTCTTACACTATTTGTTGATGAGAACTTTTATGCCTCATCGTCTGCCCCATATATGGGCAAACTGATAGGAAACCCGGGATACTTCCACCTTTGATTACAGCAGGAAATTCAAATTACACAAGTGTATTAGTCCGTTCTCATGCTGCTATGAAGAAATACTCGAGACTGGGTAATTTATAAGAAAGAAGTTTAATTGACTCACAGCATGGCTGGGGAGGCCTGGGGAAACTTACAATCATGGTGGAAGGGGAAGGAACACAGCCTTCTTCACCTGGAGGCAGGAAAGAGAAGAATGAGAGCCAAGTGAAGGGGGAAGACCCTTATAAAACCATCAGATCTTGTGAAAACTTACTCACTATCATGAGAATAGCATGGGGGAACCACCCCTGTGATTCAATTACCTCCCACCAGGTCCCTCCCACGACAAGTGGAGATTATGGGAACTACAATTGAAGATGAGGTTTGTGTGGGGACACAGTCAAACCATATCGACAAGCCTCTGCCTATGTGCAATTCCAATCTAATCCCAACCCCACCCACTAACCACCACAAAAACTCCAAGCCATTCTCCTTTCCTTGCTCTCTCAAGCCTCGCTCTCCCCAGAAAGCCTCCTTATACAAGTAATAAACATTTCATAACTTGTGTGTATGTAGCATTATTGATCTGGACATCAAAACTAAATTGTTGGTGAGGGCCAATTCTGCTTCTGTGGGGTGGTAACAACATATGGTATGTTTGAATATAAGAGGCACATTCTTGCCCCAGGACCCCAAGGAGTAGAATTCTTCAGTAGAAATAAAGCAAAGGAGGTCATGGTAGGTAGCAGAAATTCTCCCAAAGTGTTCGAGTAGGACTAGTGAAGGTGTAGTTTATTCAGAGTTTATCTACCCTCTCTGCCATGCACTGTTACTATGAAATTAACACATTTTTGCTATGGATGCTGATGACCATCCCCTGAGTCTGACCAGCTTCCTTGCAGGAAAACCAAAGAGAAGCAAAATGTATCTGTGCTCTTCATTGCTTCCACACAAAGCAGGAAAAATTCAGCCAGAAGTGCATAGTTTGGATACGTATGCTACAAGCACAGATTATTTTGTCACAAGAGAGAGACTTTTTCATGTTGCCTATAAGCTTAGGTTACTTTTCCCAAAACTTCACACAAAATGATTAATAATTATTCATTGCTTGGCTGCAATGTTTCCATCCTATTGGCAGATTTGATGAGATGAACACTGCAGATTCTGAAATCAAGCTTATCAGATTAAAATCAAATTTGCCAACTGAGAGGGAAATGTTCACCAATTTGATGAATACGTGGAATAGAAAAATTGGTTTGTCTCATATATATAGGATACTGCATTTGGTAAATAGAAAACAAACATCCTCTAAAGAAAAAAAAACTTTCAAAAAGCATTTCATTTTCGCTTTGAAATGCTTTAGGAGCAATGCATTAGAAAGTATACTAAGAGTACACCAGAAGTTCTTTCTCTTTTTTCTTTTTCATATTTTATTATTCTTATTTTTTCTGCATCTCAGAAGCTGGGCATGGGACAGCTCTGAAAGATGGAACTTCAGAAAATTATTCTTGTCTGTTTTGTAGTTTCACAAGTCATTCTGTATCCATTTATTCATTTCCTATTAGTGACTAAATGAATGTCTTTAATGTCTCTTTACAGATGAGAGCCCAGGAGATAGGTAGACAAGAACTTTATCACTGATCACCACCAACCAGTGATTACTGAGCATCCTCCATGGTCATGACAAGATACAGATGACGGGAAACAAGAGTGGGTTAATCCAGAGAATATTACACTTCCTATAAAGCTGGAACTTGTCTTCTGGAATAGAGATGTTTATAAGAACAGAGATAGAAATATTTAAGTAATTTTTTAAAACTGAAAAATTACAGCCAGTAGTTACTATGCCTTATTCACTCCACCATCTAACATAGCACCTAGTATGCAGTAGGCACATAATAAATGCAAAAGAAAATAAACATGTGAATTTGAATCATTAAATAATTTTGCTGGCCATCAAAATTATTTTATATTAACACACTGATCAATTAAAGATGGAGATAGCTAAATCATTCTATTGTTAAAATTAGTCTGAGCGGCATGCTCTAAATTACTCTAACAGAAAAATGCTCATTAAAAATAACTATAAACAACATCTGTATACATCTCCCTGGATACCTGGATAAGAGTTTCTCTAGGATATATTCTCAGCAGTGGAGGTACTGTGTCAGGGGTATTCTTCTCTTTAACTTTTCTAGATACTGCCAATTTACGCACCAAAATCGGTGTACCAATTTAAACTTCCACAAGCCAAATAAAAAGGATATGTATCAAGCCATATCTTTGCTAACATTTGGGCTCATTATGTTTTTCAAATTTTTTTTTTTTTTGAGACACAGTCTTGCTCTGTCACCCAGGCTAGAGTGCAGAGGCCTGATCTCGGCTCACTGCAACCTCCGCCTCCCAAGTTCAAGCAATTCTCCTGCCTCAGCCTCCCAAGTAGTTGGGATTACAGGTGCACACCACCAAGTCTGGCTAATTTTTGTACTTCTAGTAGAGACGGGGTTTCATCACGTTGGTCAGGCTGGTCTTGAACTCCTGACCTTGTGATCTGCCTGCCTCAGCCTCCCAAAGTGCTGGGATTATAGACGTGAGCCACCTCGCCCGGCCATGTTTTTTCAAATTTGTATAGCATGATGGGCACAGTTATTGTAGTTTTATTTGCATATTTTTATTTCTAGTGAGATGGAGCATCTTTTAATATTTTATTAGTCACTCAAGTTTACTCTTCTGCTCTCCATAAATTGTCTCACAAGTTTTTCCTCATTTTTATACTGAGGTTTTTATTATCTTTTTCCTATTGATTTGTAGGCGTTCTTTATGCATCCTGAATACCAACCCTCTGTTGGTTATGCATACTGAAAATAAATTCAGTAGATTATCTTTTATATTTCATTAAGATATTTTTGATACAGTGTTTATTTTAATTGATGAGCTTTTCATTCACAATCACAGCAGTATTGTTCACAAAAATGAAAAAACTGAAAGCATTCTAATAATATATCATGAGGAAAATGGAAAAATAAATACATTTGGATATACTCAAACAATGTAATTTTATGCAACAGTGAATTAGAGCTATACATATAAGCACAGATAAATCTCATAAACAAAACATTGAATGAAAAATGCAAGTTGGAGAAGACAAAATGCAATATTAACATACTTAAACCTTAAAAAACCTTTAAAATGATTTAACGGGCCAGGCAGGGTGGCTCACACCTATGATCCCAGCACTTTGGGAGGCTGAGGTAGGCAGATTGCTTGAGCCCACGTGTTTGAGACCATCCTGGGAAACATGGCAAAACCTTGTCTCTACAAAAAAATACACAAAAAATACAAAAATTAGCCAGGTGTGGTAGCACACGCCTCCAGTCCCAGCTGCCTGGGAGTCTGATGTGGGAGGATCACCTGAGCCCAGGGAGGTCGAGGCTGCAGTGAGCCATGATTGTGCCACTCTACTCCAGCCTGGGTGACAGAGTGAGACCTTGTCTCTAAAAAATAAAATAAAATAAAATAATTTAACTTAAAGTATAAAGAAACATGTGAGAAAACAAACTTCAAAGTCAAGTTTATCATACAGTTCTTTGAATGTCTTCATATTTTTGCATGTTGAAATAATAGTTATTGAATGCAGCAGCAGTTCTGGTGTCACTTTCTCTAGTGAGCTAGATCAGGCTTCCCCTGCAGCCATGTTGAAGAAACTTGCAACTGGCACTGATCCTTCACCATCCATTCCTAAGAGGGTGTCTTTCAGGATGAGGAGATTGAGATCATTGCCAATACTCAGCCACATTATGTCACCTTTACAGACATAACATGACTGATCACTGATACTGCAACTAGTCAAGTTACAATGAACTCCGCAATATGATTATTGGGGCCCAGTGTATGCTTGGGCAATGATTTGATTACTCAACTCTCCAGTAAGACAGGCAGTCTAGGGAGAGTACAAAGAGGAGATTTAAAATTTCTGGCTTAAGCTGGGTGCTGTGGCTCATGCCTATAATCCCAGCACTTTGGGAAACTGAGGCAGGAGGATCACTAGAGGTCAGGAGTTTGGGATCAGCCTAGCCAACATGGTGAAACCCTGCCTCTACTAAAAATACAAAAATTAGCAGAGTGTGGTGGAACGCACCTGTAATCCCAGATACTAGGGAGGCTGAGGCACAAGAATCATTTGAACCTGGGAGGTGGAGGTTGCAGTGAGCTAAGATTGCACCACTGCACTGCAGCCTGGGTGACAGAGCGAGACTCCAAAAAAAAAAAAAAAAGAGAGAGAGAGAGAAAGAGAAAGAAAAGAAAAGAAAAAAAAATTTCTGGCCAGATGTTGTGGCTCATGCCTGTAATCCCAGCACTTAAGCGGGCAGATCACTTGAGGTCAGGAATTTGAGACCAGCCTGGCCAACATGGTGAAACCCTGTTGCTATTAAAAGTACAAAATTAGCTTGGTGTGGTGGTCCATGCCTGTAATTCCAACTACTTGGGAGGCTGAGACAGGAGAATCGCTTGAACCCGGGAGGCGGAGGTTGCAGTGAGCTGAGATCACACCATTGCCCTCCAACCTGGGCAAAAAGAGCAAAATTCTGTCTCAAAAAAAAAAAATATATATATATATATTAAAATTTTGGTTTGAACGAAATGAACGAAATTATAGGAGCTCACTTTGGCAAGCTGGGACATCACCACAGTACCAGAGCTTTAATGACTCTCAGTGCCAAGGTGCAAACAATGCTATAAATGTTACTGGTCTCTGTATTGCCAGTTACCCAAATGCCACTGCTACTGCTTAAGGCTTGATCAGGATGGTTGCTGTCAAACAAAATGTGTTGATCTTTGACACAGAAAGCAGCATTTTTTATGTATCCATCCTCACTTGTGAAGATGGTATCCTTGATGTCTAGTTTTCAACTAAGGACATTTTTTGGGTGGATAAAACTTCCTTAACCCAGCTGGGCATGGTAGCTCATGCCTGTAATCCCAGCACTTTGGGAGGCCGAGGCAGGCAGATCACTTGAGGTCAGGGGTTTGAGACAAGCTTGGCCAACATGGTGAAACCCCGTCTCTTCTAAAAATACAAATTTTAGCTGAGCATGGTGGTGGGCACCTGTAATCTCAACTACTCGGGAGGCTGAGGTAGGAGAATCCCTTGAACCCGGGAGGCAGAGGTTTGCAGTGAGCTGAGATCATGCCAGTGCACTCCAGCCTGGGTGACAGAGTAAGACTCTATCTCAAAAAACAAACAAAAACAAAAACAAAAACAAACAAAACTTCCTTAACCAAATGTCAACCATATGAATGTCAAAGTCAAGAGCAAATTAATAAAGACATTAATGAAAACAAGAAATCTATCTGAGTACTGTCTGGAGGCCTGAGGATCAACCGGCCCTGTCTGACACTTATGTTAAAAATGCACACCATCAGGAGGCTTAACACGAAGGCCTAGCTCACCTGCTCCTGGCTCCTGAGCACGACATTCAGGGGCCTGGAGACCACCACACCCACTACTGCCAGTATCCATGTACTCCTCCCAGGAGCCTGAGGATGGATCCTCACAGCCTGCTGCCACCAACACCAGTGAGACCCACCTGCCCACACCACCTGGAGGCCTGGAGACTGGCCTTACCAAACTATTACCGTCATTGCTGGCACCAACACACGTAACCTTGGGTTACAAGAGTTGACCCACCATAGCTACCACCATGGCTGATGCCACAAATGCTGCCTAGACGCCCAAGGACACCCCACCAAACCACAAATTCTACTGCTGCCACAGTTGACACCTGAACAAGCTGCCTGGAAACCCAAGAATTGGCCTATTTGGACTCACTAACACCAGTGCCTGCATATGTTGCCCAGGGACCCAAGGATAGGTATGCTTAGCCCACCGTTACCACCATGGGGGCCTGAAGACTAGCCTGCCTTGCCTAGCCATTCCCAGCAAAGCCTAACCACAGCCTCCACTAACAAGGGCAACCTAAGCCACTGAGAAAATCACAGGCACCACTGATGCTGACTGTAGCCAAAGAAATCATTCAAAGACTATACTGCAACACATACCCAGAATCAAAGCTAAAGCACCTATACAACTAACACTATAGATATATGTACAGAAAAAGTCCTTCCCCATAAAAACCAATCCAAAAAAAATGGAAGAAGTGACTGTTACACCAGAAGTGCAGATATCAACATAAAGACACAAGAAATATGAAAAAGCAAGGAACATGATATCTCCAAAGGATCACAATAATTCTTCAGCAATAGATTCTAATGGGAGGGATAAAACCTGTAAAATGCCAGAAAAATAATTCAAAATAATGGCATTAAAGAAGCTCAGTGAGATACAAGGAAACACAGATAAACAATACAAATAAGTTAGAAAAACATAAAATTAGAAATTAGAAATTCATGATCTGAATGAGAAATTCAGTAAAGAGATAAATATCATTAAGAAAGAACCACACTGAAATCCTGGAACTGAAGAAATCAATGAATGCAATCAAGAACTTTAACAATAGACTAGATGTAGCAGAAGAAATAATTTCTAAACTTAAAGGCAGGTCTTTTAAATAACCGCACCCTCCCCCACCAAAAAAAAAAGAATAAAAAAGAATGAACATGTGGGATACAATCAAGTGACCAAATATTCAAATTTTGGGTTTTCCAGAAGGAGAAGAGATGAGCAAAGACATAGAAAAGCTATTTAATGAAGTAATAGCGGAAAACTTCCCATGTCTCCATGTCTTACAAGAGAAATAGATATCCAGATACAGAAAGCTCAAATATACCCCAAATAGAATCAAGCAAAAAGGCCTTCTCTGAGGTACATTATAGCCAAACTGTCAAAAGTCAGTAATAAAGACAGAATTCTAAAACAGTGAGAGAAAAGCATATAGTCACTTAGAAGGGAACCTTACCAGACTAACATTGGATTTCTCAGCAGAAGTCTTACAGGCCAGAAGAAAATGAGATGATATATTCAAAGTACTGAAGGAAAAAAAAGACTGAGAACCAAGAAAACTATACCCAGTAAATCCATCCTTCAAAATGGAGAAATAAAATCTTTCCAGACAAGCAAAAACTGAGGAAATTTATTACCGGTAAAGCAGCCCTACGAGAAATGTTTATGTGAGTCCTACATTTGAAAGTGAATGGATGATATCTAACATCATGAAAACACAAAAAAGTATAAAACTCACTGGTAGAGCAGACACACAAATGAGAAAGAGATGGGACTAAAATTTTACCACTACAGAAAACCAGCAAACTGCTATGACAAACAATAAGACAGAAAGAATGGAATAAAGGATATACAAAGCAACCAGAAAACAATGAACAATATGATGAAAACAAAACTTCATACATCAATAATAAATTTGAATGTAAGTGGATTAAATTACCCAATTAAAAGATATATACTGGCTAAATAAATTTAATATAGCCCAACTGAGGCCAGACATGATGGCTCATGTCTGGAATCCCAGCACTTTGGGAGGCCAAGATGGGAAGATCACTTGAGGCCAGGAGTTCAAGATCAGCCTGACCAACATAGTGAAACCCTGTCTCTACTAAAAATACAAAAATTAGCCGCACTTGGTGGCACATGCCTGTAGTCCCAGCTACCTGGGAGGCTGAGGCAGGAGAATCACTTGAACCTGGGAGGCGGAGGCTGCATGAGCCAAGATCATGCCACTGCACTCCAGCCTGGGTGGCTGAGCAAGACTCCATCTCAAAAAAATAAAAATAAAATAAACCAACTATATGCTGCTGCCTACAAGAAAGTTGCTTCACCTGTAAAGACACATGTAAACTGAAAGTGAAGGGATGGAACAAGATATTCCATGCAAATGGAAATCAAAATCATGCAGAAGTATCTAACGTATATCAGATAAAACAGGCTTTTTAGTCAAAAATAGTAAGAAGAGACAAATAAGGTCATTATATAATGATAAAGGGGTCGATTCAGCAAGAAGATATAATAATTTTGAATATATGTACACCCAACACCAAAGGAACCAGATATATAAATCATACGGTATTAGATCTAACAGAAAATCATTACAGCCAACAGATTTTTGACAAAGGTGTCAAAAACATATATTGGGAAAAGAACAGTCTCCTCAATAAATGGTGCTGGGTAAACTGGATATTCATATGCAGAAGAATAAAACTGGATCCCTGTTTCTTCCCATATACAAAATACAAAAATCAACTCAAATGGATTAAGGACTTAAACAAGAGACTCAAGACTATAAAACTTCTAGAAGAAACCATAGGGGAAAACACTTCAGGACATTCATTTAGGCAAAAATTTTATGGTAAGACCTCAAAAACACAGGCAACTAAAACAAAAATAGATGAATGAGATGATATTAAACTAAAAAGATTCTGCACAGCAAAGGAAACAATCAACAGAGTAAAAAGATATTTTCCAAAGAAGACATACAAAAAGCCAACTGGTAATGAAAAAATACTTAACAGCGCTAACACAAATCAAAATCACAGTGAGATATTTTCTTACCCCAGTTGGAATAGCTATTACCAAAAAAAAAAAAAAAAAAAAAAAAAAAAAAAAAAAATGCTGTGGAGGATGCAGAGAAAAGGAAACTCTTATACACTGCTGGTGGAGATGTAAATTACTATAGCCATTATGAAAAATAGTATAGAGGTTCCTCAAAAAGTTAAAAATAGAATTACCATCTGGACGCAGTGGCTCATGCCTGTAATCCCAGCACTTTGGGAAGCCAAGGTGGGTGGATCACAAGATCAAGAGATAGAGACCATCGTGGCCAACATGGTGAAACCCCATCTCTACTAAAAATGCAAAAAATTAGCTGGGCATGGTGGCATGCGCCTGTAATCCCAGTTACTTGGGAGGCTGAGGCAGGAGAATCGCTTGAACCTGGGTGGCAGAGGTTGCAGTGAGCCGAGATTGTGCCATTGCACTCCAGCCCGGCGACAGAGTGAGACTCCACCTCAAAAAAAAATGAATAAATAAAATAAAATTACCATATAATCCAGCAATTTCACTGCTGATTATTTATCCAAAGGAAAAGAAATTAATATATCAACACAACTCACAATAACCAAGATATGAACTAAACTTAAGTATCCATCAATGAATAAATGGATAAAGAAAATGTAGCACAATATGTTCACAATAGAATGCTATTTAGCCACAAAAAAGAATAAAATCCTGTCATTTGCAGCAACGTGGGTGGAACTGGAGGTCACCATGTTAAGAGAAGTAAGCCAGGCACAGAAAGACAAAAATATCACATGTTCTCAATGACACGTGGGAACTAAAAAAAGTTGATCTCATGAAGGTAAAGAATAGAATGATAGCTAACAGGAGCTGAGAAGGGTGTATGGGGGAGGAGAATAGGGAGAGAAGTTAGTTAATGGATAAAAATAAACAGCTTCTGTCCAAGATGGCCAAATAGGAACAGCTCCAGTCTGCAGTTCCCAGCGTGATTGACGTAGAAGACGGGTGATTTCTGCATTTCCAAGGTACCTGGTGCATCTCATTGGGACTGGTTGGACAGTGGGTGCAGCCCACTGAGGGTGAGCCAAAGCAGGGTGGGGCATCGCCTCACCCAGGAAGCGCAAGGGGTCAGGGGTTTTCCCTTTCCTAGTCAAGGGAAGCTGTGAAAGACTATACCAGGAAAATCAGGACTCCCGCCTTAATACTGCACTTTTCCAATGCTCTTAGCAAATGGTACACCAGGAGATTATATCCCATACCTGGCTCAGCAGGTCCCATGTCCACGGAGCCTTGCTCACTGCTAGCGCAGCAGTCCAAGATGGAACTGCCAGGCGGCAGCCTGGCTGGGGGAGGGGCATCCGCCATTGCTGAGGCTTGAGTAGGAAAACAAAGCGGCCAGGAAGCTTGAACTGGGTGGAGCCCACCACAACTCAACGAGGCCTGCCTGCCTCTGTATACTCCAAAGGCAGCAGAAACTTCTGCAGACCTAAACTCCCCTGTCTGAAAGCTCTGAAGAGAGCAGTGCTTCTCCCAGCATGGTGTTTGAGCTCTGAGAATGGACAGACTGCATCCTCAAGTGGGTCCCTGAATCCCATGTAGCCTACCTGGGAGACACCTCCCAGTAGAGGCCGACTGACACCTCATACAGCTGGGTGACCCTCTGAGATGAAGCTTCCAGAGGAAGGATCAGGGAGCAGTATTTGCTGTTCTGCAATATGTGCTGCTCTGCAGCCTCTGCTGGTAATACCCAGCAAACAGGGTCTGGACTGGACCTCCAGCGAACTCCAACACACCTACAACTGAGGGACCTGACTGTTAGAAGGAAAACTAACAGAAAGGAATAGCATCAACATCAACAAAAAGGACATCCACACCAAAACCCCATCTGTAGGTCACCATCATCAAAGACCAAAGGTAGATAAAACCACAAAGATGGGGAGAAAACAGAGCAGAAAAGCTGAAAATTCTAAAAACCAGAGTGCCTCTTCTCCTCCAAAGGATCGCAGCTCCTCACCAGCAATGGAACAAAGCTGGATGGAGAATGACTTCAACGACTTGACAGAAGTAGGCTTCAGAAGGTCAGTAGTAACAAACTTCTCCAAGCTAAAGGAGGATGTTCAAATCCATCACAAGGAACTAAAAACCTTGAAAAAAGATTAGACAAATGGCTAACTAGAATAAACAGCATAGAGAAGACCTTAAATGACCTGATGGAGCTGAAAACCATGGCACAAGAACTACATGACGCATGCACAAGCTTCAGTAGCCGATTCGATCAAGTGGAAGAAAGGGTATCAGTGATTGAAGATCAAATTAATAAAATGAAGTAAGAAGAGAAGTTTAGAGAAAAAAGAGTAAAAAGAAACAAAGCCTCCAAGAAATATGGGACTACTTGAAAAGACCAAATCTACATTTGATTGGTGTACCTGAAAGTGATGGGGAGAATGGAACCAAGCTGGAAAACACTCTTCAGTATATTATCCAGGAAAACCTCCCCAACCTAGCAAGACAGGCCAACATTCAAATTCAAGAAACACAGAGACCACCACAAAAATACCTCTAGAGAAGGGCAACCCCAAGACACATAATTGTCACATTCACCAAGGTTGAGATGTAGGAAAAAAGTTAAGGGCAGCCAGAGAGAAAGGTCGGGTTACCTACAAAGGGAAGCCCATCAGACTAACAGCAGATCACTCAGCAGAAACTCTACAAGCCAGAAGACAGTGGGGGCCAATATTCAACATTCTTAAAGAAAAGAATTTTCAACCCAGGATTTCATATCCAGCCAAACTAAGCCTCATAAGTGAAGGAGAAATAAAATCCTCTACAGACAAGCAAATGCTGAGAGATTTTGTACCACCAGGCCTGCCTTACAAGAGCTTCTGAAGGAAGCACTAAGCATGGAAAGAAACAACCGGTACCAGCCACTGCAAAAACATACCAAATTGTAAAGACCATCGAGGCTAGGAAGAAACTGCATCAACTAACAGGCAAAATAACCAGCTAACATCATAATGACAGGATCAAATTCACACATAACAATATTAACCTTAAATGTAAATGGGCTAAATGCCCCAATTAAAATACACAGACTGGCAAATTGGATAGAGAGTCAAGACCCATCAGCATGCTGTATTCAGGAAACCCATCTCATGGGCAGATACACCCATAGGCTCAAAATAAAGGGATGGAGGAAGATCTAACAAACAAGTGGAAAGCAAAAAAAAAGCAGGGGTTGCAATCCTAGTCTCTGATAAAACAGACTTTAAACTAACAAAGATCAAAAGAGACAAAGAAGGCCATTGCATAATAGTAAATGGATCAATTCAACAAGAAGACCTAACTATCCTAAATACTTATGCACCCAATACAGGAGCACCCAGATTCATAAAGCAAGTCCTTAGAGACCTACAAAGAGACTTAGACTCCCACACAATAATAATGGGAGACTTTAACACCCCACTGTCAATATTAGACAGATCAATGAGACAGAAGGTTAACAAAGATATCCAGGACTTGAACTCAGCTCTGCACCAAGCAGAACTAATAGACATCTACAGAACTCTCCACCCCAAATCAACAGAATATACATTCTTCTTGGCACCACATCTCACATACTCCAAAACTGACCACATAGTTGGAAGTACAGCACTCCTCAGAAAATGTAAAAGAACAGAAATCACAACAAACTGTCTCTCAGACCACCGTGAAATCAAATTAGACCTCAGGATTAAGAAACTCACTCAAAACCGCACAATTACATGGAAACTGAAAAACCTGCTCCTGAAGTGACTACTGGGTAAATAACGAAATGAAGGCAGAAATAAAGATGTTCTTTGAAACCAATGAGAACAAAGACACAATGTACCAGAATCTCTGGGACACATTTAAAGCAGTGTGTAGAGGGAAATTTATAGCAGTAAATGCCCACAAGAGAAAGGAGGAAAGATCTAAAATCAACACACTAACATCACAATTAAAAGAACTAGAGAAGCAAGAGTAAACTAATTCAAAAGCTAACAGAAGGCAAGAAATAACTAAGATTAGAGCAGAACAGAAGGAGATAGAGACACAAAAACCCCTTCAAAAAATCAATGAATCCAGGATCTGGTTTTTTGGAAACATCAACAAAATAGATAGAGCACTAACAAGACTAATAAAGAAGAAAAGAGAGAAGAATCAAATAGAAGCAATAAAAAATGATAAAGGGGATATCACCATCAATCCCACAGAAATATAACCTACTATCAGAGAATACTATAAACACCTCTATGCAAATAAACTAGAAAATCTAGAAGAAATGGATAAATTCCTGGACACATACACCCTCCCAAGACTAAACCAGGAAGATGTTGAATCCCTGAAAAGACCAATAACAGGCTCTGAAATTGAGGCAATAATTAATAGCTTACCAACCAAAAAAAGTCCAGGACCAGATGGATTCACAGCCGAATTCTACCAGAGGTACAAAGAGGAGCTGCTACCATTCCTTCTGAAACTATTCCAATCAATAGAAAAAGAGGAAATCCTCCCTAACTCATTTTATGAGGCCAGCATCATCCTGATACCAAAGCATGGCAGACACACAACAAAAAAAGAGAATTTTAGACTAATATCCCTGATGAACATCGATGCGAAAATCCTCAATAAAATACTGGCAAATGAATCCAGCAGCATATCAAAAAGCTTGTCCACCAAGATCAAGTTGGCTTCATCCCTGGGATGCAAGGCTGGTTCAACATATGAAAATCAATAAACGTAATCCATCACATAAACAGAACCAAGACAAAAACCACATGATTATCTCAATAGATGCAGAAAAGGCCTTTGATAAAATTCAACAGCGCTTCATGCTAAAAACTCTCAATAAATTAGGTATTGATGGGACATATCTCAAAATAATAAGAGCTATCTATGACAAACCCACAGCCAATATCATACTGAATGGGCAAAAACTGGAAGCATTCCCTTTGAAAACTGGCACAAGACAGGGATGCCCTCTCTCACTACTCCTATTCAACATAGTGTTGGAAGTTCTGGCAAGGGCAATCAGGCAGGAGAAGGAAATAAAGGGTATTCAATTAGGAAAAGAGGAAGTCAAATTGTCTCTGTTTGCAGATGACATGATTGTATATTTAGAAAACCCCATCATCTCAGCCCAAAATCTCCTTAAGCAGATAAGCAACTTCAGCAAAGTCTCAGGATTCAAAACCAACGTGCAAAAATCACAAGCATTCCTATACACCGATAACAGACAAACAGAGAATCAAATCATGAGTGAACTCCCATTCACAATTGCTACAAAGACAATAAAATACCTAGGAGTCCAACTTACAAGGGATGTGAAGGACCTCTTCAAGGAGAACTGCAAACCACTACTCAACGAAATAAAAGAGGACAGAAACAAATGGAAGAATATTCCATGCTCATGGATAGGAAAAATCAGTATTGTGAAAATGGCCATACTGCCCAAGGTAATTTATAGATTCAATGCCATCCCCAACAAGCTACCAATGACTTTCTTCACAGAATTGGAAAAAACTACTTTAAAGTTCATATGGAACCAAAAAAGAGCCAGCATTGCCAAGACAATCCTAAGCCAAAAGAACAAAGCTGGAGGCATCACACTACCTGACTTCAAACTATACTACAAGCCTACAGTAACCAAAACAGCATGGTACTCGTACCAAAACAGAGATATACACCAATGGAACAGAACAGAGCCCTCAGAAATAACACCACACATCTACAACCATCTGATCTTTGAAAAACCTGACAAAAACAAGAAATGGGGAAAGGATTCTCTATTTAATAAATGGTGCTGGGAAAACTGGCTAGCCATATGTAGAAAGCTGAAACTGGATCCCTTCCTTACACCTTATACAAAAATTAATTCAAGATGGATTAAAGACTTAAATGTTAGACCTGAAACCATAAAATCCCTAGAAGAAAACCTAGGCAATACCATTCAGGACATAGGCATGGGCAAGGACTTTATGTCTAAAACACCAAAAGCAATGGCAACAAAAGCCAAAATTGACAAATGGGATCTAATTAAACCAAAGAGCTTCTGCACAGCAAAAGAAACTACCATCAGAGTGAACAGGCAACCTACAGAATGGGAGAAAATGTTTGCAATCTACCCATCTGACAAAGGGCTAATATCCAGAATCTACAAAGAACTTAAACAAATTTACAAGAAAAAATCAAACAACCCCATCAAAAAGTGGGCAAAGGATATGAACAGACACTTCTCAAAGGAAGACATTTATGCAGCCAACAGACACATCAAAAAATACTCATCATCACTGGCCATCAGAGAAATGCAAATCAAAACCACAATGAGATACCATCGCACACCAGTTAGAATGGCAATTATTAAAAAGTCAGGAAACAACAGGTGCTGGAGAGGATGTGGAGAAATAGGAACACTTTTACACAGTTGGTGGGACTGTAAACTAGTTCAACCATTGCGGAAGACAGTATGGTGATTCCTCAAGGATCTACAACTAGAAATACCATTTGACCCAGCCATCCCATTACTGGGTATATACCCAAATGATTATAAATCATGCTACTATAAAGACACATGCACACGTATGTTTCTTGCGGCACTATTCACAATAGCAAAGACTTGGAACCAACCCAAATGTCCATCAGTAATAGATTGGATTAAGAAAATATGGCACATATACACCATGGAATACTATGTAGCCATAAAAAGGATGAATTCATGTCCTTTGTAGGGACATGGATGAAGCTAGAAACCATCATTCTGAGCAAACTATAGCAAGGACAGAAAACCAAACACTGCATGTTCTCACACATAGGTGGGAATTGAGCAATGAGAACACTTGGACACAGGATGGGGAACATCACACACCAGGGCCTGTCATGGGATGGAGGGATGGGGGGGATAGCATTGGGAGAAATACTTAATGTAAATGATGAATTAATGCGTGCAGCAAACCAACATGGCACATGTATGCATATGTAACAAACCTGCACGTTTTACACACGTACCCTAGAACTCAAAGTATAATAAAAAAAAAATAGGCTGGGCTCGGTGGCTCACGCCTGTAATCCCAGCACTTTAGGCCGAGGCGGGTGGATCACAAGGTCAGGAGATCGAGACCATCTTGGCTAACACGGTGAAAACCCGTCTCTACTAAAAATACAAAAAATTAGCCGGGCGCGGTGGCGGGCGCCTGTAGTCCCAGCTACTCGGGAGGCTGAGGCAGGAGAATGGCGTGAACCTGGGAGGCGGAGCTTGCAGTGAGCCAAGATTGTGCCACTGCAATCCGGCCTGGGCTAAAGAGCGGGACTCCGTATCAAAAAAAAAAAAAAAAAAAGAAAAAAAAAATAATAATAATAATAAGTAAGCCAGAAAAAAGAAACCCACATAGGAGAGTTGGAATGAAAAATGCTAGGAATAGGGGAGGGGAACATCCTGCTGAAGACTCAGGGAAAAGCACTGCACTGCAAAATAACTAGCATAAGAACCAGAAGAAATTTCCTTGGTGTATTAATTAGGATGTACATCAAGAATTTAATGAAATAGGAGCCCAAATCCGAAAGACAGGAAAAAAACACATCAAGATAAGCGGTAAAATTGAAGAATTTTTACCTTTTTAAACAAAAGATACAAGAGGTAAAAAGGAACAAAAGGAAAATTGAAGAATCATAGAGACAAGAAGAGGATGCCAAGCACAAAAGCCAAATTAAATCTGGTTTGAAAGCAGCAAAGAGCAGAATTCACAATGCAGACATGGACTGGTAATGACAAAGGTGAATTTAAGCCGTTTTACCAGAAAGAGATAAAAATGTTGAAAGGGAAAGTTATAGGTGTGTAAGATACAGAACAGAGAAACAGAGATTCAACAATAAAGTTATAGTTAGTTTGGGGGATGGGAATACTTTTGAATGCTTTCTCAATAGCAAATGCTACTCCTATCAAATGGGAGTGATCTCAAGTCAGATATCTTTTCATGGGGACCTGCATGACTCTTCCTCCATGCTGCCTGTGCGTTTACTCTAGAAGCTTCAATATCTCCTTACTGAGGAGCCTCAGGAGGTGGAAGTAAAGGGTGGGTTTTCTTGTCTCACTTGTTTTTATTGGTGCCAGCATTTGGCGTAGACCCCATGCTTAGAAATTTATAGCCAGAGAGCTATAAACTTAGGCCTGAGAGGGGGAATGTGTCACATAACAGGCAGGGGTGGGTTGCATGGACGTTATAAAAGGCAAATGTTGAGTCTTAGGTCCTAAAATCCCGAGGTCAAAGCATTAACTCGAGACATGTCCATTGCTAGTGTTCACTGCAACCTAGAGTAAACTGAGCCCATAGTCTATGCATACTTAGGAGGCCACTCTACTCTTTTCCGTTGCTGGCCCTTAGACCGAGGACAGCAATGACGGGGCAGCTGGGCAGTAGAAGGGAACAGCTTGAACTCAAAGTTCCAGATTATCAGTGGGTACCAGCTCCTCAGCTTGGGAATGTTCCTAACAATATTCCTGGAAAACAAACAAATAAATGGAACCACTGGAAAAGCCACAAAGCAGAACACTTCAGTGTATAGACTGAAAGGCTCACTTCACTTTAGGCAAGATTAATAACATCAGATCTATATTTAGCCATATTCCAGGGAATATTTAAATTGCAGGGATAGAGACAAAATTCCAGAAGTATTCAAGCAGAAACAACAACAACAACATCAAAAACCAAAACATTTTAATTGTAAAGGAATAAAAATATCAAACTGGGCTGGGCCTGCAATGCTAAATGGCAGAAGCCAATGAGGAAATGTCGGTGGATCATGAGCTCAATGTTTGTGTTCCAGCTACTGTTGCTGCAAAACAAAGAAACCCAGGACGTGGTGGCTCTTAGCAGCTCATGAATAAACCTACCATGGTTCTCTGATGGAGTTCACTGATTTCTGTTCACTTTTCTCCTCCACTTCAAAACATGCTCAGATCATACGGTAGTCAAAAAGCAAAAGAAAGCCACCAGGTTGCTCATGCCTCGTCAGCATTTTAAAAAGCTGCATTGTGTCTCGTTTCACAATGTGAAATTTGATCACTTTTACACAACTATTTTATGGGTCTGAAAAGTGCTGTGTATCCCTAAGAAGCTTTCTAGGGGAAGGTCTTGTTATATTAATTGTTGAATAAATCTCCCTAAAAATGAAAAAAAATTAAAAAATCAACAGTTAGATAGAAGGAATAAGTTCTAGTGTTCAATAGCACAGCAGGGTGACTGTAGTTAACGATAATATATTGTATATTTCAAAATAGCTAAAAGAGAATATTTGAAACATTCCCAACACAAAGAAATGATAAATGTTTAAGGTGACAAATATCCTAAATACCCTGATTTGATCATTACACATTGTATGTATGTATCAAAATATCACATATACCTTATAAATATGTGCATATATTATTTAACAGTAAGAAATAAAGTAAAAAATTACACTGTGGGGAAAATAGGTGCGGAACCAGATAGTAGTGATGGTTGCACATTATGAATATAATAAATGCCACTGAATTGTAAACTTAAAAAATGATTACAGGAGACTAGGTCACATAGCAGTTAGTGATGCAGATGCTTGACCCACACTGCCTAGGTTCAAATCCCAGTTCTGCCATTTATGAGCTGTGTGAGGCTGGGCACAGTGGCTCATGCTTGTAATCTCAGCCCTTTGGGAAGCTAAGGAAGGAGGACTGCTTGAGGCCAGGAGTTAGAGGTTTCAGTGACTTATCATCATACCACTGTATTCTCAGCCCACATGACAGAGCAAGACTCTATCTTTAAAATAATTTTTTTAATATATGAGCTGTGTGACCTTGAACAAGTTATTTAACCTCTCTGTGCTTCACATCCTTCAACCATAAGGCAACATTGATAATCAAAGCATCAACTTCCTATGCCAGTTATTTTGAGCTAAATATCAATAGCACCCCCTTCAGTTTGAAAAAATCCCAGTTCAGAGAACAAATTACATGGTCATTCAACTCTCATTGATCCACTCTTGAAGATGTTGCCAGACCAGAGAGTAGAGTGTATATTCTACATAATCACAAAATGTAAGACACTCAAAATTTTTACAAGAAATCTGATGACAGTTCTTTAAAAAAAAAAAAACTACATGAACTTTAGTATATATACACGAGGGGTTATTCTGAAAACTTGAAATGGGAGCACATAAAAATGAAATTCATGTCCTGAAGAATAATGTTCCTTTCAAAAGAGGCAACAAATATAGTAGAAATATTTTATAACAAATATTTTATAAAGAAGATAAAAACAACTAAATGAAATGTGACCTAATGCTGGTAATTGTCCTTGGAGTAGAAGGTTAGAAGTGCTTGTTTTTTTCTTTTTCTATATCTCTACAGTTCCCAGTTATTTTACAGTAGGCACATATTACTTTTATAATCAAAAAGATTTTTTTAAATGATCAGACTGACTCACAAAAAATCAAAACATAATTGCAGAATCAAGACATACTTAAAGTTATTCAGAAAGGCTGAACATAAAGAGACAGCAAAGGTATACTAGGAAAATGCAAACAAAAACTGGAGATTGGGATATCTGGTAATGTAGAATTTAGACCAGAAAACATTAAATAAGATAAAAAAGGACTAGTTTTAATGCTAAAGGCTACAATTTACAAAAAGCCATAATATCTTATGCACCCAAATGACACAGAAATAAATTCAAAACTCAGAAGCTACAGGAGAAGCAAGAATAGACAAAAACTTAGGTAATATCATTTTATTCTCCAAGTAAACATGGCACACTAATAAAAATTAACCATGTATTAACTCATAAAGAAAACCTGAGGCCAGGCATGGTGTCTCATGCCTGTAATTCCAGCACTTTGGGAGGCCGAGGCAGGTGGATCACCTGAGGTCAGGAGTTCTAGACCACCCTGGCCAACATGGTGAAACCCTGTCTCTATTAAAAAAATGAAAAAAATTAGCTGGGCATGGTGGCATGCGCCTGTAATCCCAGCTACTCGAGAGGCTGAGGCAGGAGAATCACCCGAACCCAGGAGGCAGACGTTCCAGTGAGCCGAGATTATGCCACTGCACTCCAGCCTGTGGGACAGAGTGAGATGCCATCTCAAAACAAACAAACAAACAAATAAAAGTTTCATAAGTCTCATCAAAGTAAGGATAATCAAAAATGTTATCTAATCACAATGTAATAAACCAGAAATTCACAATAAAATTTTAAAACACCCCTCTATCTAGAAATTTTAAAACTTAGTATTACATAATTCTTGGGTCAAAGTAGAAACAAACTGAAATTTCAAAATTTCTAAAAATATTTATACAAATACTACATCTCAGAATCTATGGAATATAATTAAAACTGTAATCAAAGGAAAATTAATAACATTAAATATAAATTAAGTCAATTAAATGAAATAAAAATTAATTAGATATCCGACTCAAAAAGTTAGAAAGAAAACAAGAAAGCAACTACCTCAAAAAACCAGAAGGAATAAATTGTTAAAAGCATAACAATATTAGTATAAATACTTTTCAGTGAAAGAAGGTTATGTGTAAGGATAAAAAAAAAAATAGAAAAGCATTAGCTCTTCTCATCGGAAAAAAGACTCCAAGCACATATACCCAAGATAAAAAGTTGCAATGAGGAAGTAACCATCAAATACAGAATATTAAAAATTATAACAGGTTACTTGCATGTATACCAAAAAACTAACAAACACATTGAAAACCTCTATGTCACAAATAATTTTCTAAGAAAACTTAATATACCAAAACTAACCCAACAAATATTATTTTCAAGTTGTTTAAATATATCACATTTTACAGAAGAAATAGAAAAAATAGAAAACCTATCCCTAGCCCCATGAAAGCACAAGGCCTACAAACTATACTAAGGGAACTATACCAACCTTCAAAGAATGGATCATACCAATCTATTTTAAATGTTCTAAAGCATAAAGAAGAAAAAGAAAACTCCAAGAGTTTGAAGTGAGCATAACACTGACAACCAAACCTAATAAACATTATTGCTTTGCACACACACAGAAGAAAATCATGGACCACTGGCACTTACAGCAATGCAAAAATCTTAAATAGAATATTAGCAAGCAAAATCCAACAGCAGCCTTCTAAAAATATATCATGACCAAGTGGGGTTTACTGAAGAAATTAAAGAGAAAATTAATATTGAAAAATCCATTAATATAAAATTCATCATATTAAGAGGTCAGGGGAAAAAATTACTTGATCTTCCCCATAGATGCTAAAATTTATTCAACACAAGTATAAAATTCTTCTAATAAAACTTAATAAACTATAAAATAAAGCATATTTCCTTAACATGAATTTATGTTTACATATATATTTCAAATGTAGTACATGTATCCTGGTTGGATATGCCTTGAAAAAAAGGAATTTATAAAATCATTCTAGAAATTACGTGGAAATTTAAATATGTGTGAAATATTAGATGACGCTAGGAAAACATTGCTAATTTTCTTAGTTTTGATAACAGTGTTGTAGTTATTTAGGAGAATGTCCTTATTCTTAGGAAATCCATACTGAAGTATTTAGGAACTGAAGTGTGATGATATCTGAAACTTAGTCTAAATTATCCTACAGAATAAAAGTATACATGAAAAATATTAATAATTGTCATATTTGGATGGTGGCTATAGAGATGATCATTGTACTATTCTTTCAACTTTTCTGTGTGCTTGAAGATTTTCATAATAAAATATCAGAGATTAAATGAAATTTATAAAAATAGTAATGATAGAAACTTTTCAATATAGTTTCACTCACTATTCTAGTTAAACTCTTTTGTTTCCAAAGATCAGAGTCCCACTCAGGTTACCTTAAGAAAATATTTTTTAAAGATACAGGTGAATCAGACCTAAAATTGGAATCCCACACTCAAAGGACATTCAGGTGGCTCTAGGAACTGCCTGCTCTCCCAGTGGCCGGCTAAGGGACCACCTCATTGCTCTCTCTGGGTCTCCACTTTCCTCAGTGCTTCTACTGCCTTCTCACCTCTCCCAATAGATTCCCTTTGCTATCTTCAATTTCAGCTGACCTCACCCAGCAAAGTTATACATGGGCCCTTTCACCCATCAACCTCACTCCTGGAAATCTAGCTCTGACATGTTGGCAAAAAAATCCAAATGATATCTACACAAAGCTATTCATTGTAACATCATTTGCATAAGCATAAAGCTGAAAACAACCCAACTTCCATCAAAAGGTGACGGATTAAGTAGACTATTATACATGCAATGATGGAAAACTGTGTAACTATAAAAAGTAATGAGAACAATATATACTGATATGTAATGATCTTTAGGTTATATTGTAAAGGGAAAAAAGCCATGTATAGTATCCTACTTCCAGTATTTTACTTTTTGTGTAAAAAAAGAATAAAAATATATAAATAAACATATTTATTTATATTTTCATAAAGAAATAATGAAAGGATGAACCAAAAACTAACTTTTAAAAAATGCTTCACTATAGTGGGAGGGAGAAAGTAAGATGAAGGAGCCAAGGAGAGAAGCTTCCCTAGATGTGCATTTGGCCGGCTTTCCTGGAGTCTGGGCCTGTAACTGGCTGTGAGCATTCTGCAGGCCAAGCAGGCCACAAGATTTAGCCCAGACTGAAGGGAGGAGAAAGAGACTCCAACTCTCTATGGGAAGTGTGACAAACAATATATGTGGCCAGCTTTTCTAAAAGAGGACAACCAGACATGATGTGCTTCATAACGGGGCTTACTAAAAAGTTATACAACAGTAGCTATAAAGTGATTTTGCCTTAAAAATTTCACCTGAATGTCTAATCAAGCCTCCAACTCTCAGTTTCTAGGCAATATAAGGGATAGAAGGAAACATTTAACTTTTAAAAGGTTAAAGAAGCAATCAGCCAAATTCAGAATGTGAGAAATTCTATAGGACCAAACAACCAGAGGGAGCTGTCACGGAATAACCAAATGTAATATGAACGTTTGATTTGGATTTTAACTCAAACTAACTGTAAAAAGACATAATTGAGACAACTGGAGAAATCTGAATGTGGACTGGGTATCAGACAATGTTTAAAAATTACTATTCTATAAAAACATTTTTTTAAAAAACTTTTAGTATTTAGAGATGAAATAACATGGTATCTGGGATTTGCTTTTAAAATCTAAGAGAAGAAAGTGGAGGTGGTAAATGAAATAAAATGAGCAAAATGTTGAGGAAATTGTTGTTAAAAATACTAATTTTTTTGCATCCTTCAGCTACCACCATTAACTTTCCAAGCCTCTTGATGTTACTTAGTTCAAACTCCCTGAAGAGTAAATATAATTAAGTCAGCTAAGCCATAGGCCACTGGCTGGGGTCTGTGATTGAGCTATCTTTAGGTTTACTGTCAGCTATGGACTGAATGTTTGCATCCTCCGAAATTCGCATGTTGAAATCTAATCCCTAATGTAATGGTATTAGGCGTTAGGGCCTTTGGCAGGTAATTAGAGCATAAGGGTGGAACCCTGAAGAAAAATGGGATTAGTACCCGTATTAGGGGCTACAGAGACCACAGTTATCCTCTTCTACCATGTGAGGACACAGCTAGAAGGTCTACAAACCAGGAAGCCGACCCTCTCTAGACACTGAATCTACCAGCACCTTGATCTTGAACCTCCAGCCTCCAGAAATGTAAGAAATAAATTTCTGTTGTTTATAAGCTACTCGGTCTATGGTACTTTGTTATAGGAGCCCAACATACATTGCCCACTCACCCCGGGTCCAAAAAACTGGGAAAAGTAGGTTACAAAGTAAAAAACTTGATCCCCTGAGCCTGTTTCTTCAGCAAGGATTGAAGACTAGGGCAATTCCATAGAGTTAAAGAAGCAGAGGGGAGCAGGCACACTAATCAGTACCTCTAGTGCTATCTTCCTGAGAGTGGGAGGAGCTGATTCTTTAATGGATGAGCTTCGCATGCATTTCAAAACCAACAATAACATCTTTTTGACTCATAAACTTCTCATGAGTCCCACATCTATTTGCCTACCATCTCCTTTGATTGCTCATTGTTAAAGAAATAAATGGGGATCAGGGGTTAACTATCATTTCCTTATAATCAAGGCAAGTGGCCAAGTGATTTACCCAAGGAACAGAGCAATTGGTTCTAGAGGAAATAAATAAATTGTATTTTGTATATCAACTAGACTGCATCTTCAGGGAATTGTGCAGCATTGAAAACAACTTTTAAACTACCTAATAATTATCTGTAAGCATCATCTCCCCTTTAAAAAAATCTTTTAGACTTTCCTATGGAAAATCTACATTGTCAGCCCAGATGGGTGTTGGAATAGCAGGAAATAGGTTGGAGACTCAGGGAAAAATCTCCTTATGAAAGGCCTTAAGAAGCAGGCTAAGGGATTTAGAATTTGTGGCTTTGCTGAAAGGGATCACTATGAAGGTAAAATTCATAGAAAAGCAGGGTTAATTCAAAAGAGAGAGACTGATGAAGACTGGGAGACCAGCTAGGAAGCTCAGTAATAAAAGCCTATTCTCCAAAGGGGCAGCTGAAATGTAGATGATGCACAACATCTGAAAGATATTCCAAAGGGAGAAATAATTTATTTTAATGGCCCTGGAGTTTGGGAAGGGAGCAGAATAAAAAGTCAAAGATGACTTGAAAGTTTCTGATTTGGAAGACTAAAATGTATTGATATCCCAGACAGAAGTGGAATGATAAGAATGGGAACAACAGAAGCAAGGCAGCCATTTAATCAGTCCCTGATAAGTAAGAGTTGAATGTACTTTTAGGGTAAGGAAGACATCTTGTAGCTAGCCATGGTGGCACTTGCCTGTAGTCCCAGCTAGTCAGGAGCCCAAACAGACACTAAGGTGGGAGAATTGCTTGAACCTAGGAGTTGGAGACTATAGTGCCTGGGCAACAGAGTGAGGCCCCATCTTAAAAAAATAAATGAATAAAAATCTTGAAAGCAATACATAGAATATATACATACAAAATTCTCCAATTCCTTTGTGATATGGTTTAGCTGTGTCCCCACCCAAATCTCATCTTGAATTGTAGCTCCTATAATCGCCACATGTTATAGTAGGGACCTGGTGGGAGGTAATTGAATCATGGGGGCAGGTTTTCCCATACTGTTCTCAATGTTAGTGAATAAGTCTCATGGTTAGCGAATAAGATCTGATGGTTTTACAAAGATCAGCTCCCCTGCACATGCTCTCTTGCCTGACGCCATGTAAGATGTGCTTTGCTCCTCCTTCACCTTCTGCCATGATTGTGAGGCCTCCCCAGCCATGTGAAACTGTGAGTCCATTAAACCTCTTTTTCTTTATAAATTACCCAGTCTTGGGTATTTCTTCATAGCAGTATGAAAATGGGCTAATATACTTCGTAAACAGCTATTTAATTGTAGAAAAGGTGGAATTCAGACAATTTTCATTATTTTGGGAAGATAATCCTGGGCACAGAAAATTAATGTTAATTTATTAATACCACATAGAGCTATATACTAGCTGAGAATTTAGAATATCTGTAAAGTTATTTAATTGTTCTTGCATTTCCTTCATGTCATTGCTTCTAAAAGCTTTACTAGTTGTCTAATAATCTTAGCCATGGGAAATTTAATACGATTTCCTTACTTTAAATTATACTTATTGTAAAATGTCTTAATTACCCCTACATGATAAAATTTAACTGATAATGGGAATCATTCCCGGGTTTGAAATGTGCATATTTGACAGCCAAGTTATTATCATGGTTGATGCTATTGCTTGTGGAAAAAAACAGCAATCTAAATCCACATGGAAGCCAATACATCATATTCTACTGTCAGCATCTTCAAACAGTGATAATCCAAGGGAATTGTAGGCTATTTGCCTAGAGAAATCACTCTAAAGGTATACCTAGCTCTCTACTTCTGAAAACACATATACCTGGTTGTAATTTAACCATCATCTGAAAGTAAACTCCTTTAAATTGCTGATGGGTCTCTCTAATCCAGTAGTTTTCAATCTTGACAGCACATTGGAATCTCATGAAGAAATTTCAAAAGTATAGTAATAGATATCTAACTCTCGTCTCCTCCCTCTTTCTAATCTAATTGTTCTGGAGTGTGGTTTGAGGATCAAGATTTTTAGAAGCTCCCCCAGTGATTCTAATGTGCAGACAAGGTTGAGAATGTCTGCACCATTTTCCTAACGATTGTCTGAAAGTTCAGATTTCCTTTAGCTTTTTAAACATTTCCTAAAGTTATAATAAAAGCCTTACTGGAATATACCACTGGTATAAGGAGAAATAATGTCAGAGGGAATCAAACAGAAAAACAAAGCAAGGGGGTATGAGGAATCATTTTTCTAAGAAGTAGGAGAGCACTTGAGGGAGAAAATTGTTATTTGGGGAAGTTATTTAAAGGCTTTTTGTGATGGGGCGTGGTGGCTCACACCTATAATCCCAGCACTTTGGGAGGCTGAGGCGAGCGGATCACCTGAGGTCAGGAGTTCGAGACTAGCCTGGCCAGTCTCCACTAAAAATACAAAAAAATATTAGCTGGGCATGGTGGTGCACGACTGTGGTCCCAACTACTTGGGAAGCTGAGGCAGGAGAATTGATTGAACTCTGGAGGTGGAGGCTGCAGTGAGCCGAGATCATGCCACTATACCCCAGTCTGGGCAACAGAGCAAGCCTCCATCTCAAAATAAATGAATAAATAAATAAATAAATAAGCCTTTTTAGATGGACAAAGCAAGAACAAAAGACTACTTTGTATGGGAAATAATGAGTCTTAAAGTGGTTGGAATTTTCCAGCATAATGAGGTAAAAGATGATTCCTTTTGGCAGAAAAGCTATTTCCCATAGCTTTTGTTGTTGCTTGATTGGTTGCTTAGCCAATAGGTATGGTATTCTTAAGTGAGCATTTTGCTGATTTCTTCTGGCAGCTGAGAAAAGGTTGTTTATTTGTTTGGTTTGTTTGTTTACGGAAGGACTTTGGGATAAGAGAAAGAAGAAATTGGGAGACAGCCTTTGAATGGCCTCTAGATTCATGCCAATAGGTCAGATCCTAAGATCTGCAGAGAAACTTCCATGGTAGGGTTTGGTTGCTGGAGCTTTGAAACAGCAAATTGAATTCCTTTCTTTTCCATGTTGGAATGCCCCCTTGATTGTACATCTAGGCCTTCAATAAAGCTTTGCTGATAATCACTACTACCTATTGTCTAGCTTGCATTGGTGTGGTCTTAGAGAATGAAGAAAGGGAGCTGTGCTCATATTTATAGCAAATTGGGTCAGCCTGCAGTAGCAGAGATGAAACATCAAAAGCCAGGAACAGCTATTGGGTGAGACGTGACAAGCAGCAATCCTATAAGGACTTTATTGAAATTTTCTGCAGTTTTACAGAAAGAAAGCTTAAGATGTTCTGTTTAGAGATGAAAGTAACCAATAACTTCAGAAAGTATAAATATTCAAGGAATATATGCCTTTATCTAATAGCCTAGTTCATAATTGTAAACTTATTACAGCTGAGAACACTAGCACTCCTCATTATCCATGTTGTTTATCTTCTTCCTGAGAACTCCCCTAAACAACATCTTCTGCCCACCTTACTATGTTGGGCCATGTGACTGGAGTCCGATTAGTGGAAAGTGAGCAGAAGTATTATAAAACACTTTCAAAATTGACTCCTGTAACTTCTTATATCATCTTCATATTCTTTCTCTTTGCTCATTAGGCAACTGAATGCAGAGGTTCCAGTGCAGAAATTTGAAAAGAACTTATAGGATGATAAAGCCACTAGATGAAGGAGACTGAGTACCTCAATCATTAAAGAAACAGCTGCCCCTTACTATTTAGGCTATGAAAAATATAAAAACTCTTATTATGTTAAGCCCTGAGATCTGTGGGTTGTTTATTACAGCAGCGCTAGCAGCTAGTTTTACTTCAGCTGGCAATATACTAAGTGACTACCCAAATCCAAAAGTCCCATTCTGTACAGTCACTCAAAAGAAAAGAAAAAATTATTTTAAAATTCATATGGAACCAAAAAAGAGCCTGAATAGCCAAGGCAATCCTAAGCAAAAGAATAAAGCTGGAGGCATCACACTACCTAAATTTAAACCATACTACAGGGCTACAGTAACCAAAATAGCATGGTACTGCTGGTACAACAACAGACACATAGACAAATGGGTCAGAATAGAGAACCCAGAAACAAGGCCACACACCTACAACCATCTGATCTTTGACAAAGCTGACGAAAACAAACAATGGGGAAAGGACTTCCTATTCAATAAGTGATGTTGGGATAACTGGCTAGCCATAGGCAGAAGATTGAAACTGGATCCCTTCCTTACACCATATACAAAAATCAACTCAAGATGGATTGAAGACTTAAATGTAAAACCCAAAACTATAAAAACCTGGAAGGCAACCTAGACAGTATCATTCTAGACATAGGAATGGCAAAGATTTCATGACAAAGATGCCAAAAGTAATTGTAACAAAGGCAAAACTGACAAATGGGATCTAATTAAACTAAAGAGCTTCAGCACAGCAAAAGAAACTGTCAATAAACAGACAACCTACAAAATGGGAGAAAATTTTTGCAAACTATGCAACTGACAAAGGTCTAATATCCACAATCTATAAGAAACTTAAAAATTCAACAAGCAAAAATAAATAACTCCATTAAAAAGTGGGCAAAGGACATGAACAGACACTTTTCAAAAGAAGACATACATGTGGCCAACAAGCACATGACAAAAAGTTCAACATCACTGATCATTAGAGAAATGTAAATCAAAACCACAATGAGGTGCCATCTCACACCAGTCACAATGGCTATTACTAAAAAGCCAAAAAACAACAGATGCTGGTGAGGCTACACAGAAAAGAAAATGCATAGTTAGTGGGAAGGTAAATTAGTTCAGTCACTGTGAAAAGCAGTTTGGCGAATCCTCAAAGAGCTAAAAACAGAACTACCATTTGACCCAGCAATCCCATTACTGGGTATATGCCCAGAGGAATATAAATCCTTCTGTCATAAAGATACATGCACATGCATGTTCATTGCAGCACTGTTCACAATAGTAAAGACATGGAATCAACCTAAATGCCCATCAAGGGTAGACTGAATAAAGAAAATGTTGTACATATACAACATCGAATACTATGCAGCCATAAAAAAGAATGAGATCATGTTCTTTGAAGCAACATGGATGGCGCTGGAAGCCATTATCCTTAGCAAACTAATGCAGGAACAGAAAACCAAATACCACATGTTTTCACTTATAAGTGAGAGCTAAATGATGAGAACACATGGACACATAGAAACAACACACACTCTGGCCTATCAAAGGGTGGAGGATGGGAGGAGGGAGAAGATCTGAAAAAATAACTATTTGGTATTAGGCTTAATACCTGGATGACAAAACAACCCTCATGACATGGGTTTACCTATATAGCAAACATGCACATGTACCCCTGAACTTAAAATAAAAGTTTTAAAAACTTAATAATTTTTTAGTAATTCAAATCACACAAACAATGCTTTCTGACCATAATAGAAATAAAATAGGAAATCAACAAATAAAGTAATGCTGGAAAATTCCCCAAATACTTGAAAACTAAATCACATACTTCTAAGAAACCCACAGGTCAAAGAAGAAATCATTAGGGAAATTGGGAAGTATTTTGAACAGGTGACAATAAAAATACATTTCAAAATTTATGGGATAGTGTCAAAGAATTACTTAGGGAAACTTTTAGGACTTCACGTTATGGTTATTTCCTCAGTAGATCTATAGCCCATTTCTTCAACTGTGTTCCTCTCTTCCTCATTATTTTCTTTCTGCCCACGTGAGGAGGGAAACTATGGTTTGATCTTCCCTGTCCTCTTACTAGTTATAATTTGTCCATTAAATTAACACGTATTGAGAAACTACTGTGGGCCTATAGTGCTGGCTCAGAGTAGGAGCTTTACAAATATCTACTGAATAAATAAATCAGGTAATTTCAATTTGGAGACAGAGAAATAAAAGAAATAAAGAGAACTTGCAGCTCCATTGTCTATTGCTAAATCAAAACTTTTTTTTTTTTTGAGACGGAGTCTCGCTCTGTCACCCAGGCTGGAGTGCAGTGGCGCCATCTCGGCTCACTGCCAGCTCCGCCTCCCAGGTTCACGCTATTCTCCTGCCTCAGCCTCCCGAGTAGCTGGGACTACAGGCGCCTGCCACCGCGCCTGGCTAATTTTTTTGTATTTTTAGTAGAGACGGGGTTTCACTGTGTTAGCCAGGATGGTCTTGATCTCCTGACCTTGTGATCCACCTGCCTCGGCCTCCCAAAGTGCTGGGATTACAGGCGTGAGCTACTGCGCCTGGCCCTAAATCAAAACATTTTATATTTAGGTTCATACTACTCATAAGATTGATCTTCATTTTCCTCTCTTAACAGTCCTTTCAAAAGAGTAAGTCATAGAATCACAAATCTAATCTGGTCACATCAAATGCATAAGTCTTCTCTAGCATCTCCAATAAGATCTGTCCAGCTTCCTCTGAACACCTCCAATAAGACTATTCAATATGTGAATTGAAGAGTCAATTCAATCTATTAATTTTCTAGACTCATGGTAGTACAATGATTTGCATTTACCTTTCCAAACTGAATTGTAATTCTGATAAAAATATAAACATAATCTCTGGCACGGGGTTTGAGTTCTTCTAGCTCAAGTGACCTGTCTCCATAACCCACAGTCATTTGTAGAAAGGCAAAGCTATCTTCACTCAGTTACTTCAACCTCAGAAGATGGGATGTATCTCCAAAACTTTCATTTTCTCCCTTTTTAAACTTACTAGAAAACACCTTATTTAGATGCATTGCCTTCAACATGTTTGCAATTTTATCTTCTACACACTCTTGATATGCAAATTGCATGAATGTACAAATCTGAAAGCATATATTAACCCCTTTAGAAGGTAAACCAATGCCCAATGACCATGGAAAAAAATCATTCTGATCACATTCCCATTTCCCCTTTATTGTTTGGTGAAGACTCATCCTTTGAGTCCACCTTAACATGGTTCCTGTTCATTTCTTTTGACCATTTTAGTGGACTCTTCCTAGACTTCTACAGCTCCACTATATCTTCCTCAGATTTGCATACACTATCCAAGAACTTACGTAACGGGAAGGTGGTGTTTGTAGTTTGATTTCCATTACCTTTTTGATGATTCCTTCCATTTGGACTGCATCATTTGTTGTCTGTATTCCAGAATGTATCTTGCCAGTGCCTGCAAAGAACAATCAACCATTACTGCTACATCCTTCTCTGGAGCTAAAACTTAAAGAACAAGTTTATCATATTCTAAGTATATTTTAGAATCTAATTTTCCAAGACATGTTACTTGATTTGGTCACAATAATCAAATTTTGTTGTTAAATCCTTGTCACTATTCAATATTTTGCATAAAAGTAAATTTTATAACTCTTCTGTGTTCCATGTCTTGTTAACTAATATTTTAAACGACATTATATGAAGCATGTAAATTCAGTCCTCTCCCCCAAAGGCAGTGTGTGACTCTTACTAATTTTTACTAGAACACAATAAACCCTGCAATTAATATAGCACTTTAGACTCCTGGGTAAAACCAACACCTTGTATTTGGAATGACAAGTTAATAATCACTGCCATCGGCTGGCAACAAAAAAAACCCCTCTGGTTTATACCAACTTGTTTGATCAAAGGCAGTTTCAGGTGAACAAAATAATTATATTTCCAGGAACGATGCACTAACAGATAAAAATACACTTGTCTATTTCCTGCCCTCTACATTTGCATTGGTACAAACAGCACCCAGAGCAATCAGAAAAATAATATTGAGCAAAAGCAGTTGCACTGGCAACCATGAGGTCACAATCTTTACTAAAGAATACAGAATGAGAGCATGATGAAATGGGAAAGAGAGGTATCCCCACTAGCGTTTTTTTTAGCATCACTAAGATTATAACTACTCTCAGTTTACAAGTCCAATTAATTAATTCCAACCCCTCTGCAACTCTTTCTGAGCAAATCAGTAATTTAACTTACCTGATAAGTCAAATTGATAACCAGTCACCTGTCTAGTGACCTTACTCAACTCAAGCCTATGTTATCTTGACAGATTGGATAAAGCAATTTAAACCTTATTAAAGCAAAGGTTTGATGTATTTCATCCAATCCATTACGTGTACATATATAAATACATTGTGGAAAAAAATACTACCACGTCTCTGCTGGAAATGTGTTTTGATACAATGTTTTCAAGAAACAGTATTTTTTAAAGATGTCTTTGGATAGTCTAACAGTTTGTCTCAATGGGAGCTGCTATTCTTAGTCAGGAGTAACAATTCTTCATTGTTCTGTACATTACAGGATGTTTAGCATTCCTGGATCCTACCCACTAAGTGCCAGTAGATTGTCCCAGTCATATATGTATGGGAACCGGAAACGCTCCCATATGTTTCAGAATGGCCCCCAAGGAAACAGTGCTGCCCTCTCTCCCAGTTAACAATCTTTGGGAAGGCTTCCCAAAAGAAGTTGAAGGATTTAGTAACTTCCCTATTGCAGGGTCAAGTATTCTTTAGAGAAATTCTAAATCAAAGAAAAGAGAGCTAATTCTAGAGGATAATTTCCAATGAGCAAATAAAAATGTTCATCCTTGCTTCTACTCTTCTTTCTAAATGATGCCTAAATGATTTTCTAATCTAAAATTACAAACTTTAAAGGAAAAATGCCTATCAAAAAATAAGATAAAATAAAAAATACTTATGAAATGTTAAGTTCTGTATGACAAAAACAGAATACAAAATAAAATACAAATATGAAACTAGAAACATAACTGCAGGGGTTAATAAATATACAAAAAATCCCTACATAGCAATGAGAAAAAACTAATGTCCAATAAAAAACTGAACTGAGGAATTAGCAAGCAAACAATAAGACAAATGGCTAATAACATAAAAAACCATATTCGACCTCATTAGTAATCAGGTATAAACAATATACATTTAAACAACAATTAAATATAAATATATTTATATGTTTTACCTACAGTGAAAATATATTTAAATGAAAACACTCAGTATTGGTGAGGATTCACAGAAGTACAAGAATAGGGACAAAATTGATGTTGCCCTTATGAAGGAAATTTAGACATAGCTAGCAAAGCCTTAAAATTTTAAAAGTCATTTAATCCATCAACCCCAACTTTGGCAATTTAGACTAGGAATGTAATTGTGGTTGCAGGCAAAAAATTGGCTACAATATTGTTCACTGAATCTCTTTTTCTTATTTTGTGGGTATATAGTAGGTGTATGTATTTATGGAGTATATAAGATATTTTGATACAGGCATATGATGCATAACTAAATCAGGATAAATGGAAGTGTCCATCATCTCAAGCATGAATCCTTTCTTTCTGTTATAAACAATCCAGTTATACTCTTAGTTAATTTGAAATGTACAATAGGTTATTTTTGACTGTAGTCACCCTGTTGTGCTATTAAATACTAGATCTTATTCATTCTGACTATATGTTCATAGTCATGAATCATTATTTTTTGTAGTAAAAGAGTAGATACACGTATATTTTCAAGAATAGGAAAATTTAATGAATAAACTATGGTATATCTAGAAAATAAAATATTATGAAATTAAAATAATGCCTTTGAAAAGTATTTAGGGACATGGAAAAATGATCTTAGTATATCATTAATGGGGAAACGCAAGGCTCCACACCCATGGAGATTGGTCCCAGGATCCCAGTGGATATCAAAATTCAAGGTTGCTCAAGTCCCGGATATAAACTAGCATAGTATTTGCATCTAACCTACACGCAATCTCTCAGATACATCAGATCTTCTCTAAATTACTCATAATACCTAATACATTGCAATCGCTATGTAAGTAGTTGTTATACTACATTGGTTTTTATTTGTATTACTTTCTATTGTACTGTAAAAATTTTTTCCAAACATTTTTGATCTGTGGTTGGTTGAACTCATGAATGCAGAATGGCAGACACAGAGGGCCCACTGTTTGTAAAATATGACCTTTTTATAAAACTTATATATGCATGTGTTTATATAATCAGAGAGAGGGGGCTATATTTGTCTTGTAGAGAAAATCTTGTTCTTCTTTGCAAACTCAAAACCTGGCATGGTGCCTGGAACAGAGTATGTACTAAGAGTATACCAAGTCAATCACATGTATAAATAAATTGGTAATAAAGGACATTCCCTAAAATGCTATTGGTTATTGAGGCTGAGATTAATTATGTTTTTCTTTCTTCTCTTTGTTTATATTTATTTCGGGGGTTTTATACAATGAGCATGGATTACTTCTGTGATTTCAAAAAAAAGTGTAAGTCCTATGGAAAGCTTTAATTTGGTTGGAAGGAAATTTGTGGATCTTAACGGGAAGGATTTCAGTCATGCTACAGCAAGTGTGCCTCTATTGGTCATGACCAACACTTTCTTAGCCATAATTTGAGCTAATTTAAAAGCCTACTCACCTGCTGGGGTTTTTCTCCCATAGAGAAGTGATTCCAGGCCACCTGTGGTGGCTCATGCCTGTAATCCCAGCATTTTGGGAGGCCAAAGCAGGAGGATAGCTTGAGCCCAGGGGTTCAAGACAAGCCTGGGGAACATAGGGGAACCCTGTCTCTATAAAAAAAAAAAAAAAAATAAGATAATTAGCCAGGCACGGTGGTGCATGTCTGTGGTCCCAGCTACTCAGGAGGCTGAGGTGGGAGAATCGCTGGAGCCCTGGATGGAGGTCGAGGCTGCAGTGAGCCGTGATCACACCACTGCACTCCAGCCTGGATGACAGAGGGAGGTACTGTCTCAAAAACAAACAAAAAAGAAGAAAATTGAGTCCCCCATAGACTTCAGAAGTAAGATAAGACAATAAACTTCTGAATCATCCCACCTTACACACGAAGCAGGGACAGAGTAACTGGGAAGAAGAGCCCCTGGGGACACCTTGGAGAACAAGATTCTAGTGCCAATTGACAAGTGACTCAGATGGTGAAAGCATTATAGACAACGACATTAGGCTCTGATTTTCTCTTTCATTTTCGCGTTTGCTTTAATTCTTATTTGAAGCAATGTGTGTATCTTACTTCAACTAACGACAATGTTTTAATTTGAGGGGCAGTTTAGTCGCTTTAAGACTAACATTTCTGGCTCCATCACATCCCTTGTGTAGAAGGCAGTGGCCTACTACAACAAATAAGCAAGAGTGCCACCTCGTGGCAGCTCACTTAATATACACATGGTTCCTGAGCGCTGGAAGAAATTTAAGAAAAAGTTGAAAAGAGGTAATAATATTGCAGAGATTGGCCTAACATGCCTCAACAGCTTCAGTGCCCTGAATTGCAAAGGTTTCCTTCTACCTAGGATTTTAGCTTTCAGAAATGTGACAGTTTTGGTCAGCATAGAAAAAATATCAACCTGAATTGCCGTTATCTCTACCGTAAATTACTAAACACGAGGCTCTTCTGGAGATGAACTACTGATCTCTGATAACATCGTTTATAACATAACCAAAATTATCTGACTTTGGGGAGCTATTGTCCTCTCCTCATCACTTATTCTGTTATTTAATGAACATTTATTGAACACCTTTATTTTCCAGGAACTGCACTAGACTTTGGGAACATAAACATGAGAAAGATACATTCTCCAGCTGGTGAAAAGCTCATACACTCTGTTAAGTAAAATTTCTAGAAGGCCATTGGTTTGAACTAAGCTCCCTGCACTAGGCCCCAACAGATCAAACCAAAATGGAGTAACCCATGCTAAAGTTCCATATCACCAAATTGAAACTAAGTTGTTAATCTGACCTTCTGAGAAATTAAAAGAGAAAAAGAAATAATAGCCAAACCCCAAACAGGCCAGTTTTAGCCAATATGATCAGAAAGTCCCCTCTGCTTTAACCCTTACAAGGAAGGTAACCTGCTGTTAACCAATCTGCTTTTTGTATTATGCTGTTTCCTTGTTCCTGCTCAAGCTTTTAAAAACTGACTCTTCCATCACGCCCAACAGAGCACCACTCTGTTTCTTAGATGAGATGCTACCTGACTCATGAATCACAAATAAAAGCCAATTTGATCATTTAACTAAACTTGTTGCAATTTTGTCTCTTGACATTTATCATGAGATACTATGCTGAATCATCTATTGTCAACTGCGCATCACCATCATCCCTTTTAAGGTCTTCTCCCACAATCCATTTACCTAGGACACGGAGTTTCCCATAGAAGTCACTCAAGATGTGGAAGACAGAAGAAATAGAGAAGTTTTATTCTCTAGAGGCAACTGCATCCTGACTGAAGAAAATGAGAGGCTCAGAGTGGCTCCCTGGTGAGCTCTTGAGAACCCATCTGTGTTGCTGCTGCACCGTGAGACGCTGGGGGACCTCTTAGAGATTCCTAAGACTTGCAGCAGCTTGCTGTTAAGTTCCTGAGAACCCGCTGCCCTGTTGCCTCAGGATAAGATCTCCAGTGTCCGCTTCCTTCCCGCTGGCTTGCCTGGTCTTCACTACTCCCCAGCCTTTCCAATAGTCAAGCAAGCCCCTAATTCCTAATAACAAACCCTTTCTGCCCCCAAAACACGGAGTGCCTTCTGTTTTCCTGACCAATCCTGACTGACTCAGACACGTAGCTAGATAATTCATATAGCTAGATAATTCTACAACATTGCTATAGTGTCATGAAAATCAGACTACATCAGATTTTATGAGAGCTGAGTGGCAGGAAAGTATCCCAGCTGTAGATGATTGAAGGAGGCTTCCCAGAGAAACCGGCATCTAAGGTAAGTCTCACAGATTAACAGAAATTATCTAGGTGCAAAGAAAGATTCAGAAACTAAGGTATTTAGAAAATAAGTTAGGTTTTAGAAGGGCTGGATAACCAAAAATAAAACTGTATTTAAAGGGGAAAACACACAAGACTAAAAAAGTTGCCAGACTTACAATTAGCATGTTGATGAAGAATAAAACAACAGTTTTCTTGCATGATTACCATTCCTGTAAAGCTCATTACACATTTGTAGAAATCAGTCTGGCAAAATGCAGTAATGCTGTTGGTGCTTCTTCCACCCCAAACCCTTACCAGATAGGTACACCAAGTTCGCCAGCTGCTGTGAATGATAGCCACTAATGGCTCACAACTGCAGCCTTCTCTGAAGAATTGCTATTCACCTGGAAGTTTCCGGAAGACTCTGACTTCCTCCAAAGGCATTCACAGGTGAGGGCTGACATACAGGCCTGCAAAACCTGGCCCCCTCATCCTAAGGTGATGCCAACTTTGGTATGCCATTCAAACTCGGTGGGAGCAGGCTAAGGCTGAACTACAGCAGAAACTTCATCTTTGCTTAACTTTTCCTCTGTCCTATTTTCTGCTTTCCTCACTTCTTTTTTTATTCTTTTGGTCTTTTGGTTTTTTTGAGACGGAGTCTCCCTCTGTCGCCCAGGCTGAAGTGCAGTGGCGCAGTCTCGGCTCACTGCAACCTCTGCCTCCCAGGTTCAAGTGATTCTTATGCCTCAGCCTCTCCAAGTAGCTGGGAATTACAGGCATGCACCACCACACCCGGCAAATTTTTTTGTATTTTTATTAGAGACGGGGTTTTGCCATGTTGGCCAGACTGGTCTCAAACTCCTGACCTCAGGTGATCTGCCCGCCTCGGCCTCCCAAAGTGCTGGGATTACAGGCATGAGCCACCGCAACCGGCCTGCTTTCCTCACTTCTTGATGTGTGGCAGAAACTGCAGACAGTCTGGAATTGCCTGAGCATGCAAACAAAGCATGGTGAGTTATGAGCTGGAGAGATAGGCATTTAGCCTAATAATGTAAGGACTTCTTGTAAGCTGTATGAAGGGAGTGTGAACTTTATCTATGAGTACTATGATCTTCCAACATTTGTCCACACCATCAGTAAAAAATTTAGAGCATGATATATATTTAATTATTAATGTACTGACATGCCATACATTTTGTAAATGATGTACAAAAATAGAAATTTTAAAGGAAAAAATGAAAAATAGAAGTTCAGCTTCCCCTGTATTTCAACAGATTACCTTGCACCCTGCCTTAGGTGACATGCACCACTGTGGGGACCATAGGGGCAGAGAGGAAGGTTGGTCAGCTCTTTATTCCAGACCTATGATCCCATTAGGCTTCTTGTCTTTAAACCAATAGTATGGATCTGCATTTTTTTTGCTGGGATGGGTCTCTAATGCCTGCTCTTGTGGAGAGACAGAGTAGAGATTTCAGGTAATCTATTTCCTCTGTTGATGGGCATCTTGCCTAAGAAACACACACACACACACACACACACACACACACACAGACACACACACTTCAAGCAGTTCTTTACCAGGGTTTTTAGGGAAAAAACCTAAATAATACAGATGTAAGAGATGGGATTGAATATCAGGTGCCCCCTGCACCCAGTAATAAATCAGTCTCTCCCTCACTGGCTTTTTCATTCTCTATACCTTAAGAAGGCATTGATCTCACTACACCTTCTGGGTGGGACAATAGAACATTTCTGAGGTCATTGAAAACTATCCTGTTTGTACCTGTCTTCTCTGCTCCATGTTACTCCTTTCTCCCCACTATCTCCAAGTCTTTCATGTCTAGTCCCCACTCCCAGTGCCCCCATTTTGCTAGACTGCAACTATTCTCTTAGAAGTAAGCAAGTCCCAAAATATCTCTTGGGATACATTTTCACAGTCTCCTGTTCCATTTGTGAATCCATGCCAGCCATCCTTGCTCACTGCCACTAGGCAGAGGCATGTAGGAAGCCTTTTAACCTCAGGGGGAGCAGAGGAGGGCCGGCAGGTAACCCTACTCCTATTCTGGTCTTCTTTTTTCTCTGGTTGTATCTTAGAATCTGGCAAAGGAAGCCTCAGACATCTCTCACAACAAGCAGGAATCTCCCATCCATAGTGCCACTGGGTCCAGGTAAGAAATTGTCACCTCCACCACCAGCATCACTTTGACCTTACTAACAGTTGTGGGTACTGGTACAAGAGTACAAATGGAATACCACGTATCACATATCTAAATGAGCAAAAGTTATAAATAAGCAAACACAACTGCTCAATAAAATATGTCCCATCCTACCACCTTGACAAATACTTCGTCCTAATGTCAAAATTGAAAAATATGAGTGATTTGTATGTGACTAGAAGTCAGTATGGTCCAAGACTGCACTGTTTGTGTCTTTCTCAGACCCTGGGTTGCATTGCAATTCCAGCTTTCTTCCATGCTCCTGACATTAAAGTATGCCATGCCCAGTGCTCCTTCCTGATCTGTGACTCACCTGGCTGATGGTGGGGAAGGTAGTCTCCCAGCTGAGATGGGGAATATAAAAGAAATTGGGATGTGGGAATGTGAGATCTGAGTTGAGCAGCAAAATTTGTGATAACAGCAGAGGACATGTGGAGGTGCCCAACAGGAAGCCAGATATGAGTCTAAAGTGCTGACATTTTTATCACATTTAACACCGAACCATCTGATGAAGTTTTAGTTCTAGGGGCAAATAAGAACAGATGGGAGAATGAGATTGACTGTATTTCTATTGCTCTACCAGTTGTTCCACGTAATAAAAACATCTTTATGTCTCTTTCTGCAAAATAGAGACAGAGATGTCTTTTGAATAAGCACAAATGGTACATAAATCAATTAACATCTTTATTCAGAGCCTTTTACTCTCATGATTCCAAATTAAGCTCCATACTATATTTAAAACTAAAGCACTATGGTTCGTGACCACTGGGAATTAAAAATTTTGTCAGAGACAAGAGAATCAAGACACCTATATATGACAGGGCAGATAACACAGGATGGGGTTCAGGACATGCTATTCCAAAATATAACACTTTGGCACCCTGAAAACTGGCAGAAACAGGGAAGTCTCTGAGTTTCCTCTGCCCCCCTTCTTCCCTGGAGTAGATCATAAAACCTAGGAAGAATTTCTTTTTTCACCTTTCCCTAAAGTAAGACATAAGACCCTTATGGAAGAGGTGTCCTCTACACCCAGAGAAAAGGAGTGTCCTTATCTCTAAAGATGAAGGATCACAAAGGAATCTGAGCAAACAGTCTTTTAAGTTTCCCTGTTTGTTGCCATCAGATCATGCCCTCTTTGTCTTATCACATTTCTCAACGGTCCACTGTTCATCAAACCTAACATAAAAATATACTGGCTTAACCATTTCTTTGGGTCTTCATTTCTTATGAAGATTCTCATGTCACATAAAACATTAAATAAATTTGGCTGGGCACAGTGGCTCACACCTGTAATCCTAGCACTTTGGGAGGCCGAGGTGGGCAGATTGCCTGAGCTCAGGAATCCGAGACCAGCCTGGGCAACATGGTGAAACCCGTTTCTACCAAAATACAAAAAAAATTAGCTGGACATAGTGGCGCGTGCCTGTAGTCTCAGCTACCTGGGAGGGTGAGGCAGGAGAATCGCTTGGATCTGGGAGGTGGAGGTTCCAGCGAGCCAAGATTGCGCCACTGCACTCCAGCCTGGGTGACAGAGCAAGACTCTGCCTCCTAAATAAACAAACAAATAAATAGATATGTATGCCTTTTTCTTGTTAATCTGTATTTTGTTATAGGAGCCTCAGCCATGAACCTAGGATGGGTGAGGAAAAGATATTTTCCTTCCCTACACGTACAGTCCTTATTCTCCACGGAGTAGAGTAACGCCTGACAAGAAGACGCTCAACACAGGCTTATTGAAGGAATGCCACAAGGCAGAGGTGAAATAAAACTGCACAAAATTCCTTCTGGTGTTTAGTAATGTTATGGTCTATTAAGAAGAAGAGTCAAGGGAGGGCTACTGATTGTGTGAGTTGTACGGAGTATGTGTAGATTAATTTATCTAGATTAATTTCAGCACACAGGACATGGTTTATTTAACCTGAAAATTCTTAAACATTTTAACCAGTATTTTTTGGGAGGCTGAGGTGGGCAGATCACCTGAGGTCAGGAGTTCAAAACCAGCCTGACCAACATGGGGAAACCCCATCTCTACTAAAAATACAATATTAGCCAGGCATCGTGGCACATGCCTGTAATCCCAGCTACTCAGGAGGCTGAGGCAGGAGAATCGCTTGAACGTGGGAAGCAGAGATTGCAGCGAGCAGAGATTGTGCCATTGCACTCCAGCCTGGGCAACAGGAGCAAAACTCCGTCTCAAAAAAATGAATAAATAAATAAAAATAACCATTTTAATTGATACTTTAAAATCAGGAATTTTTTTCCACAAAAATCTGGATTTCTGGATTCTCTCACAATAAAAGACCACCAGTGTTGCCACATGGCATGAAAAGGCCGGATCTGAGGAGCAAACTGTTCCTGGGCTTTCCTTGCCATTGGCCACAGCTCCCCATCCCTGCCCAAGAGGCTTCACATGTTCACCTGCCTGGCCCCTTGCAGTATGTCAGTATATAATTTCTGGTTGGGTGATAACGTATATTACATATCACATGGTCCATATGTCCACTGCCATCATCACAAACTTTTCTGCCTGTTCTAAGTCCTTTTGTGTCCCACATTGGTGGGTCCTTGGTTTCGCTGACTTCAAGAATCAGGCCGCGGACTCTCTCGATGAGTGTTACAGCTCTTAAAGGCAGCACATCTGGAGTTGTTCCTTCCTCCCATCTGGTTCGTCGTCTTGCTGGCTTCAGGAGCCAAGCTGCAGACCTTTGACATGAGTGTTACAGCTCATAAACACAAAACAGACCCAAAAAGCAAGCAACAGTAAGATTCACTGCCAAGGGCAAAAGAACAAAACTTCCACAGCATGGAAAGAGAGCCTAGCAGCCTGCTTTTATTCCCTTATCTGACCCCACCCACATCCTGCTGATTGGCCCATTTTACAGAGAGCTCATTGGCCCATTTTACAGAGAGCTGATTGGTCCGTTTTGACAGGGTGCTGATTGGTGCATTTACAAACCTTGAGCTAGACACAGAGTGCTGATTGGTGCATTTACAATCCTGTAGCTAGACACAAAAGTTCTCCAAGTCCCCACTAAATTAGCTAGACACAGAGCACTGATTGGTGTGTTTACAAACCGTGAGCTAGACACAGAGTGCTGATTGGTGCATTTACAATCCTCTAGCTAGACATAAAAGTTCTCCAAGTCCCGACCAGATTAGCTAGATACAGAGTGCTGACTGGTGCATCCACAAACCCGGAGCTAGACACAGAGTGCTGACTGGTGCATATACAATCTTCCAGCTAGACATGAAAGTTCTCCCAGTCCCCACCCAACTCAGGAGCCCAGCTGGCTTCACCTAGTGGATCAGGTGTGGGGGGCTTTGGGTGGAGCTGCCCACCAGTCCTGTGCCACGTGCCCACACTCCTCAGCCCTTGGGCAGTCGATGGGACCAGGCGCTGGGGAGTAGGGGGCGGCTCCCCTCTAGGGGAGGCTTGGCCATCCGTGGTGGCGGGGGGGCCCTCGGGCATGGCGGGCTGCAGGTCCAGAGCCCTGCCCCGCAGGGAGGTGGCTGAGGCCCAGCGAGAATTCGAGCACAGCGCAGGCGGGCAGGCAGTGCTGGGGGACCCAGTGCACCCTCCGCAGCTGCTGGCCCGGGTGCTAAGCCCTTCACTGCCCGGGGCCAGCGGCGCCAGCCGGCTGCTCAGAGTGCGGGCCCACCGAGCCTGCACCCACCTGGAACTCGCGCTGGCCTGTGAGCACCATGTGCAGCCCTGGTTCCCGCTGGCGCCTCTCCCTCCACACCAACCAGCAAGCAGAGGGAGCCGGCCCCTGCTTTGCCCAGCCCAGAGAGGGGCTCCCACAGTGCAGCAGCAGGCTGAAGGGCGCCTCAAGCGCGGCCAGAGTGGATGCGGAGGCTGAGAGCGAGCGAAAGCTGCTAGCACATTGTCACCTCTCACTTTCGCATTGCTACAAAGGAATACCTGACACTAGGTAACTGATAAAGAAAAGAGGTTTATTTGGCTGACAGTTCTGCAGGCTGTACAAGCATGGCACCAGCATCTGCTAGGCTTCTGGGGAGACCTCAGGGAACTTTTGCTCACAGCAGAAGACAAAGGAAAAGCAGGCAGGTCACATGGCCAGAGAGGGAGCAAAGAGTGGGGGCAGGGGTGGGGGGAGAGTCTAGATTCTTTTAAACAACCAGATCTCATGTGAACTAACTGAGCAAGAACTCACTCATCAACAAGGGGATGGCACTAAGCCATTCATTCGTAAGAGATCTGACCCCATGACCCAAATACATCCCACTAGGCCCACCTCCAACATTGGAGGTCACATTTCAACATAATTTTGGAGGGGACAAACATCTAAACCATATTACTGCCCAAAGAAGAACTCACATTTCCCCCCCTTTCCCAGTGGCCCTTCCCAACCCTTGCTTTCTCCTGTATTCACTATTTCTGCTAGGGAGACGACCTCCCCCACCACTAGCCAAAGTGAATCAGAGTCAGGGTGGAGCACGGGAAATAGTGTATTTCAATGTCAGGAAGATGGAAGAAAGGTGGCTTTGCAATGCAATCCAAGGTCTGTGACATTACGTATCACATGGCACAATATGACAAAGATGTGTACAAGGTCATTAGCTGGGGTTTTGGTTTTAATCTATGACCACAAAAAGAGCTAAACTACAAATTAACAGATGCACAAGATTCAGATGTTAAAACCAATAGAAAAATTCCCGTTTGTTGAACAGTCAGTTGAGGATCATCCTACCCCACCGTGTGGTCATTTGGGAGCATACAACCTATATAACTCCTGTGCCAAATAAAACAGATAATGTCTTACATTATCCTTGGTCACAGAATAATGTAATAGGATTGCTATAAGGTTGCCTTCAGTGTGTTTAGCAAAGCTCCCAAGCTAGCAGTTCATTGAATTTGATCTGGTCAGTTGGTACAGAGCCCCAGAAACCCAGCCACTTTATGCAATAATGAATCATTCTTTTTTTTTTTTTTTTTTTGAGATGGAGTTTCACTCTTGTTGTCCAGGCTGGAGTGCAGTGGCGCGATCTTGGCTCACCACAACCTCCGCCTCCTGGGTTCAAGTGATTCTCCTGCCTCAGCCTCCCGAGTAGCTGGGATTATAGGCATGCACCACCAGGTCCGGCTAATTTTGTATTTTTAGTAGAGATGGGGTTTCTCCATGTTGGTCAGGCTGGTCGCCAACTCCCAGCCTCAGTTGATCCGCCCGCCTCAGCCTCCCAAAGTGCTGGGATTGCAGGCGTGAGCCACCGCGCCCGGCCTAAATCATTCTTTTTCACTGTGTTTTCTTCTCACTCCCTGAAATGGACCAACAGACATGCTGGGTTCTTACCTGCCCCTCCACTTTCAAACCTGCTGCTCCATAACTTCCAACATTTCCACTAAATCCACTACCTGTGAGTTCAATTCTGTGAAGCATAAAGTTAATAGATAGAGGATACAGCTTTGCTGGTAGGAACTAAAGGCACTTCTTACATAGAAAGAAGGTCATCGTAATGGGGGCTCACCAAGTTCTATGAATCATCTGTCTACATATGCAAATTGCCTTGTAATATGGAGCTCTTTTCTGTGGTATCCATTATAATTGACAGACGAGTCTGTTGGCCACAAATTGACCATCTTCTTGTTCAGTGTTTGGGCTGCTTATACATTGTTTCTTCAGCCATAAAATGGGGATGGTACCAACAGTGGGTGCCTCCCAGAATTGTCATAGAGACTGAGTATGGTTGTACACCAGTGTTAGGTGCACAGTAAGTCATCAGTACACATTAGCTGGTATTATGTGTAAACTAAGTGCTCAATACACATTTTGTCTTTTAGCTACATTTGCATAAACTGAGACAAGCCAGGGTTTAGTAGAGTGGGTAATTATGAAAATGAGTTTATGTAGATTTTTGCTACATTCAAAAAGCAAATAGCAGATTTGAGGTTGTTCACATCTTTTCTTACCTTCCAGATTATAAAGGATCTCACTTATGTAAGAATACACATCGTGCAGGTATGTTTAGGCTAGTGGATCAAAGAAGAGGGAGATAAAAGGTTCACAAAAACAATACATATACAAGTTCATAGTGGCCTGTACAACAGTCATATGATGTCTACAAGTTAAAACTGCTCACTAATTACTTATAGCTAATTATTAAAACTGCTCACTAATTACTTATAGCAAATTATAGAGCTTCGGTGCGTGGGTGATTTTATGAAATAAAGATGTCATCTCTTCAATTTAGCATAAAAGTTTCCCCACACCACTACCTTTCAGAAAAGGCATAAAATTGCCTCCAGAGAAAAATATGTGTTGTTGCTGCCACCCTGTGGTTTTGTTTTATATTGTAGCCCTCAGATAGTAAATAAATATTTTATACTGCCACAAGCAATTTGTAAAATATACTGGCAATTTCTAGGTATGGCTTTCTTAGTATTATTAAAAATTCACCAAGTTGCAAAGAGGACTATGAATTAATTTATCAGTATCAATTTATTGACTAGGTAGGTCCTGAAATCAGGTAAAAACTCACAAAGATCAAAATCACATCTAAGTCACAGAAGATCTAAATTACTCCACTGATGCATACATATACATGCTCATGGCAAATTTTAAAAATTAAAATAGTATCTTATGCTTAAATTTATAGATATCCTAAATAACTTATGAGCTACCCATAAAATAGGCCATATACTCCCATTAACAAGACAGAAGTAGAGAAAAAATATGGAATTATAATTTTTCCATGTATGTAATTATATTCTATAGTCTATCCCTTTGAAAAGTAACACAGAGTAGGGGTTAAGCATAAGGTCTCTAAAACCCTGAAACCTGGGATCCAATATCCCACTTCTATTAGGTGTTAGCTATGTGACCTCAGGCACGCAATGTAACACCTCTGTATGTTGCTTTCCTTATCCACAAAACATGGATGAGCTCAAAGGAACAAACTTCACAAACTGTTGTGAAGACTGATTATACCTTTTAGAGCAGTCCTTGGCACTCAGGAAGGGTAACCAATTAATGTTAACACTTACTCTGTATAACCACAATTATAATGGTATGAGCCAAATTGGCTTTATTGCTCGAAATCAACCCTTTCCCTACAAACTGTTCCCTTTCTCACCTGTGCTCAGATACTGATTCTCCCAGTTCTTTCAATCTGCCTCCTTCTGCCAACACATTGATGACTTGGCGGCTGATGAGCCCTGAAGGGTAATTTTCTGCTGGAGTTGGAGGCCCTCAAGTGACTGACCACAGGATGTCAAAATTGCTCCTAAGTAGGGCTTGCTATATTTCTTCTGTTTTATTCTTTTTGAATATGTTTTGTTGTTGCCGCAGTTATTCTATTCCTGCTGAATTATGCAGTGGACAGATGGGGAGCAGATCACTTTTTTCTTAGTTCATGAAGTGCCGTCTCCAGCCCTGAAATAGATTTCCACATAAGTACATCACCCAGAGATCCTAAACTCTGGGCTTGGAATCCTTGCACAATGGAATTCCACAGTTGTAACCTTCCAAAGGGGGTGAATATATTTCTTGCATAGGAGAGTGAATTCAGTATTTTGTTACCGAAGAGCAGATTTGGGGAGTCACTAGTGCTATTCTCCAGATATTTTATTTTCCTTTCTGGTACATGCTCCTTTGAAGTTAGGTGTGGCCACGTGACTTACATGTAATGTGAACAAAAGTGATGTGTCACTTCAGAGTGGAAGCTTTAAGTTTCAGTAAATAATTCACCACTTTCTCCATCCCCTGCCTTGCTGATGGTGGAATTATGTCAAGGTCGTCCCTCCATCAGCCTCGGTTCCAGAGTGCTTATAACCCCCTCAACAATGTGCAGAGCCCCCCATGGGCTAAGGTGGACACATAGTTTGAGAAAAAAAAAAAAAAACCTTTTGTGACAATGCACTGAAATTTTGGAATTGTTTTTTCAGTATCACCTAGCTCATGCCATTACAGAAAACAGTTAGCCTCACTGCCATCCCTGGGAGATTCCCTGCAATCCCTGTTCTTGCTCCCAATAAAAGCCCTTTCCCTTAGTCTCCCAACTCACACCAGAGACCCAGGATATAGTTTCAGGCTGACATTGCAAGACAATATTTAGAAAAGAACAACTCAAAGGCTCTGCAGTCAACCTACCTAGCTAATTTGAGGTTCCACCACTTACTAATTAGCCAAATGACTGAGCAACGTATTTAATATGTGTAAAATGGGGGTAACAGTGTTCATCTGTTTCAGTTACTATGCCTGTGTAAGAAACCACAAAACTTAATGGTGTCAAACAAGCTTTTTTATTATGCTCACAGATTTGTGAATGAAGAACTTGGACAGAGCACACAACAGGGATGGCTCATCTCTCCTTCCCATGCATGGGCTCCAGGTAGAATACTCAAAGATTAGCAGCTGGAACCATCTGGAGCCTCACTCCCTGACACAGCTGGCAGTTGGTGGCTGCTGTTGGCTGTCGACTAAGCCCTTTGCTAGGGGAGTCAGCCCAAACTCACATACAGCCTCTCCACGTGGCCTGGGCTTCCTTATACATCAAAAGAGAGAAAGCAGAAGCTACATCATTTTTTGTGACCTGGTTTCAGAAGTCATGCAGCATCGCTTCCACTGTATTCTACTACTAGGCAATTGCAAAATCTTGCCCAGGCTCAAGGAGAGAAGAAATAGGCTGCTTCTTCACGGGGGCAGCCAGGCTCCGGAAGAGTACATGGGACCAGGAACACTGCTATGGCCACTTTTAGAAAATAAAATCTGCCACACTTCCTAAGATTGGAATGAGCTAACACAATAAAAGTACTTAGAAAAGCTGCAAAGTACATGCTTGGTATTGATTTTTCCACTGCACAGTCTAGAACCACACATAACTGCCTCCCTGCCCAGCTTCCACTTTGCTTCTTCGTGGCCAGACTTTCCCTTCTTAGGGACCTAGTCCAATGATCCTTTATCAAAGATTCTAGACCAAACTAAGGCAATTCCAAGACAGGAGGCATTCAGGAGCATGCTCTGACTCCGTGGGCTCAAGATGTTCATATCACAGTCTAATACAAGCAAATTTCCCACAAAGTATAATCCTCTGGAGACTGGGCTATCATAGGCTTAAGGTTAGTTCCTTTTTATGTTTTTCCTTGTAAAGGACTTAAGAAGCTTTCAGGCCTTATGTCAACCAAGATAACCTACCACACATATACAATTGTCCCTTTGTAGCAAAAGATCTTCAAGAAAATGTTAAAACTTTAAAAGTAGATTTTAGGTGGATTTTACTTTTCTTTTTTTTTAAAATAGAAGTGTATCATTCTGTCAAACTATACGGTACCTTTTAGCAGATTTTAAGAGAAAGTGAAATAAACCTCTAAAGGGCGGGTCATTCACGACAGTGCTCACATCAGACTGAAATGGCAGAATGACATCAGCTAATAATCTTTTAGTTTATGCTCAAAAGAACTGGACTATTGGCTGTTAGAGATGCTGTGTAGATTAGTGCCTCCTTGGCACTAAATTACCAATATCCAGGAAAACAGGTTTAGCCAATAAGTGAGCTATTAAGTCATGTGTACAACAATTCAAGGGCCGTTTCTTCAAATCTTCTATAATTTAAATTGCAAAAGAAGAGAAAAAGCTAGCTTTATTCTTTGTGCCAAGAACCTTCTATAAGCCTTGTGTGTAGTTTGAAATCCAGAAAGGTGCTGCCATTATAATTGACGTATAGTTTGCTGCTATGAAATTGGCTTAACTAAGTATCTTTACTATCAAACTTCTGGGTGATAACTAAATATGCCAAATCTCAGTCACTAAAGTTAAAAATCTAGAGCCAGACCCCACTCCCTGGAAAACTGGCAATTTGGGGTTTATGTCATACATGAATCTTGTCATGTACACTGTGTAATCATTCTCAACCAAGTTTCCCAAGTATTTTCGATGTCATTTAGCTTGGCTGTCTGAGGCTTTACCAGGAATAAATATGCCTAGAATCAAATCATTCTAGGTTTAGGCAACTTAAGCACCTACAAACACAAGATTATCATTAAAAGTCATCTACTAGGCCCGGGTGCAGTGGCTAACATCTGTAGTCCCAGCAATTTGGGAGGCCAAGGTGGGTAGATTACTTGAGGCCAGGAGTTTGAGACTGGCCTGGCCAACATGGTGAAACTCCATCTCTACTAAATACACAAAAATTGGCTGGCACAGTGGTACCTGCCTGTAATCCCAGCTACTTGGGAGGCTGAGGCACAAGAATTGCTTGATCCCAGGAGGTGGAGGTTACAGTGAGCTGAGATCAAGCCACTGCACTCCAGCCTGGGTGACAGAGCAAGACTGTCTAAAACAAAACAAAAACAAACAAAAAAAAGTCATCTAAGATGAATGACTTTCCTCACTTTCTTAGCGATATTCTTAAATCATACAGGCTTATGGGTAGCCTAAAATACACCCTTCTTCCAACTTACCAGATAATTTTCTGCCTACTCACTCCTCTATTAAGCATCCTTGTATTTATCTGTACACCAGCAATTCCCTTTTCAAAAGTTTCTAAGAACTAAATTCACCTTTATAATGTATTTCAAAATGTTGTCCCTAAACAACCAATGAGCATTCAAATGAAAATCTTCTACCTGTTCTTTGAATGCGTTATTGTACTTTCTCTTTCAAGTAGGTTTAGACTTTTTTTTATGGTACTCACTTTTTTTTTTAATTATACTTTAAGTTCTAGGGTACATGTGCACAATGTACAGGTTTGTTACATATGTGTATACATGTGCCATGTTGGTGTGCTGCACCCATTAACTTGACATTTACATTAGGTATATCTCCTAATGCTATCCCTCCCCCCTCCCTGTAGCCCACAACAGGCCCTGGTGTGTGATGTTCCCCTTCCTGTGTCCATGTGTTCTCATTGTTCAATTCCCACCTACGACTAAGAACATGCAGCATTTGGGTTTTTGTCCTTGTGATAGTTTGCTGAGAATGATGGTTTCCACCTTCATCCATGTCCCTAAAAAGGACATGAACTCATCCTTTTTTATGGCTGCATAGTATTCCGTGGTGTATATGTGCCACATTTTCTTAATCCAGTCTATCATTGTTGGACATTTTGGTTGGTTCCAAGTCTTTGCTATTGTGAATAGTGCCACAATAAACATACGTGTGCATGTGTCTTTATAGCAGCATGATTTATAATCCTTTGGGTATATACCCAGTAATGGGATGGCTGGGTCAAATGGTATTTCTAGTTCTAGATCTTTGAGGAATCGCCACACTGTCTTCCACAATGGTTGAACTAGTTTACAGTCCCACCAACAGTGTAAAAGTGTTCCTATTTCTCCACATCCTCTCCAGCACCTGTTGTTTCCTGACTTTTTAATGATCACCATTCTAACTGGTGTGAGATGGTATCTCATTGTGGTTTTGATTTGCATTTCTCTGATGGCCAGTGATGATGAGTATTTTTTGATGTGTCTGTTGGCTGCATAAATGTCTTCCTTTGAGAAGTGTCTGTTCATATCCTTTGCCCACTTTTTGAAGGGGTTTTTTTTTTCTTGTAAATTTGTTTGAGATCTTTGTAGATTCTGGATATTAGCCCTTTGACAGATGAATAGATTCCAAAATGGGGAAAGGATTCCCTATTTAATAAATGGTGCTGGGAAAACTGGCTAGCCATATGTAGAAAGCTAAAACTGGATCCCTTCCTTACACCTTATACAAAAATTAATTCAAGATGGATTAAAGACTTAAATGTTAGACCTAAAACCATAAAAACCCTAGAAGAAAACCTAGGCATTACCATTCAGGACATAGGCATGGGCAAGGACTTCATGTCTAAAACACCAAAAGCAATGGCAACAAAAGCCAAAATTGACAAATGGGATCTAATTAAACTCAAGAGCTTCTGCACAGCAAAAGAAACTACCATCAGAGTGAACAGGCAACCTACAGAATGGGAGAGAATTTTTGCAATCTACTCATCTGACAAAGGTTTAGACTTTCATCAGAAATGCTTAGTTAGCTTAGTTGTTCCTCTAGAACAGCAATCAACTAACTATGGCCCACAGGCCGTATCTGGCCCACCATCTGCTTTCATAAGTAACTTTTAATAGAACATGGCCACGCTCGTTTGTTTACATATTGCCTATGTAACTGCTTTTGCACTATAATGGCAGAGCTGAACAGTTCCAAAAGAGGTCCACAAAGCCTAAAATATTTACTATCTGGCTCTTTATTAAAAACAAATTAAAAATTCAAAAAAAGCCTGACCCCTGCTCTAGGACAAGTCTCCAGAAGTGGCTTTGGCTCAACATAAAAGAGAAAAAAATGAACTACTATCTTGCAAAATAGAGCTGTGATGAACTCCTATAGAAGATTCAAGTCTGAGTCTGCCTAGGCAGCTGTTAGGAATGTAGGCAGAACAAAAATAGTGTAGTCCTTTGATGACGTCCCTAAGATGAGGCAAGGACTGGAAGGAAGCCACACGGGCACAAGATGCAAATGTCATCTAAAGCAGCTCTGCCAGGAGAGGGCTGTGAGTTCTTGCAGACATCTGATCATTTTCCCTTTTCCTAGCTTACCCTCCACTTTACTGTGATACAGCAAAACAGTTCTAGTTACCTCTTATGAAGAGACTGCATGAACATAAATGACTACAGCAATGGTTTAGATTTAGGACTTTTATTTTTTTCACACCCAAGTTAGCCTGAGTTGACTCTCATTGTTCCCCTATCTACCCACAGTCCCCATCCAACACGAAGAAATATTTGCTTTCACATTACAGCATAAAGACCACCTAAGCTTTGACAGCTGACTTGTAGTGGGTCAGCGTGCGGGCAGAAGGGTCAGTGGCATTGATCCACTTGGGCATCCAGTAATGGCTCAGCCAGTCAGCCCGGCCTGGGTAATGGCGTTCAAAGACTTGACGGTAGTAATATCCTTCTTTGGTTTTAGGAGTATTGAAGGGAAATTTCTGGGCTGCATTTGCCATCATTGCATCATCAACCTGTAAGAATAAGCATATAAGAGCAAAATGGCTTAAAATGGCAGGAAATACTTGTGTTTAGTCTCATTTCACGAAACAGAAAATGTTAAGACGTGACTGTAACTTGTATGAGACCCTTTGAATCACCCATCACTTAGAAAATGCTAAAGTATTCATAATATGGATAGCTGCAGTGCCTTTTAAAGAACACTCATATGCATATTTTTAATACTTGGTGGCTCTGTTTTAGTCATTTGTGCCTAACAAGATCTGGCACCCAGCAGGTGCCCAAAAATCTGATAAATGAAAATCAGTGATGATTAGTAGTAAGTCTCCTCTCTCTCTCGATTCTAGATGCTACTTTATAATCCTTCATGCTACTTAATTCTTACGTAATTCTTACAAAAGAGATAATTGTTTACAGAGACTCTGAATCTCTCTGATAGGGACATCCTATCAGAGAGATATCTGATGTATGTATCATTCAAACTAAATACATGTATCATTCAAACTAAATACATGTATCATTCAAACTAAATACAAAATGAACAGCAATGACAGCTCTGCATCCAAACTGTCTTATTCCTGAAAATGTTTTTAAAGACATTATACCTGATGTTCAACGTATTCCTGTAAAATCTTAAACCAGGAATTCTTAACTGAAGTTATTCCATCACTGAAGGCTTCTTTTGGTCGCCAGAGAATCTCTTTGGGTATCAGATTGGAATCCTCAAACGTCTCTCTCAGGAGATGTTTTTCTATCCCATTCTGACGTGACAAAAAAAGGAGCATCAGGTAAAAATTACAAATATAATCTGATGGCAATGGACAGTTTTACCTTGAGTTGATTTACCTACCTTTGGAATTCTCATTTCTGGTGGCAGAGACAAGTAATAGGAAGAAAATCGATGATCTAGAAATGGGACTCTCAGTTCAAGACTTAAAGGAGAAAAGAAGAAAATCTAAATTAAAATGGGTATTTAGTGCCTGCCAGGTTAGGTTCTGATTCAGTTTCCCATCAATTCAACCAGATCTTAAGAAATGTTAAGGTCATACAGTCACATACAAGCCTCCTAATGACTGCCCTACACTAATGAATAGATACAAAAAATAAATCTTCATTTAAAATAATACATATATCATGTCATCTAGGGAGTAAAACTAACTGAGACTATTACTTTTACTTTCCCTTCTAGGAATAGTTAAATGCATATTTCAAAAAGCAGAAAAAGTTACAAAACATGAGTGACCCAATCATTAAGAAAATACCTTGCCTAGACCTAACTCAGTGTTTACTAGGTGAGACCATCTCTTCTAACAATTGTGATGACGATACAGTATTTTTTTGCCACTGATTAAAAATTCACATACAATATGCGATATAAACCAGTGTCCCACTATATTTCATCAAATTCCAAATCACCGGTTTCCTGAAGCCTAGTGACTCTAGTTAGGACAAGCAGAGAGGATAATGACCAGATTCAGTTCATTCCTCAAACCCATATTTAATTATATCCTTATCTAGGTGTGATTCAGCAGAGGCAACTAAGACATTTAATGTCAGTTGTTTATCCTGTACAGTAAAAGTCTTCAGTTCTTCAACATAACTTTAGACAACTAGAAATGATAACCAAAGAAACCTGGTTCTTTATAATGTAATCAAACCCCTTGTATCTTCACTACTCTATTCCCTCAGGGTCACTACAGCACCACATGGGCATGGTGGGCACTCACTACTTGTCACATGATGTTTACGATCTTTACTTCTCTTTAAAACACTTAACGGTAGCTGCTGTAGCAGCCTTGCCTCTTCCATCTTGGTTGTTCAGATGTGAGCAGAATGTTGTTACCCTTTAAAGGTGAAAACTCCACCTCAAACAACCTATGGAAGAAGACTTCTCTCCATATACCACAACACCACTTTGAAATGTGGCCTAATCCTTTTGGGACAAAGTTAAGAAACAGCTTCATTTTCTCTATAAAAGTCACACTTTGTAACATATAGCCAACTATATGTAACATATAGCCAATCAGCTATTGATTTTTATTTTCTCAGGGTATTGAGCTTTTTGTTTTGTTTTGTTTTTGGTGTTTTTTTGTTTTTGTTTTACAATAGCCTCTAAAAATATTACCCATGGGCAGCAGTAGTTCGATCTGCGCGGAGAACATCAAACAAATAGAGTTCCCTCAGAAGCCTCTCACTCTCCTCCTCGGCTTTTTCAGGAGAAGGAGCCTATTTCACAAACAAAAACACCAAGAGTTTTGCTTTTGGCACACAAAGCAGTTTTTCTTTCTCCCTCTCCAATCCTAAAGGTGGATAAGACAAAAAGTTAAACAAATTTAGGGAAGGGAGTAAATAACTGAACAGAGGTAAGCAATGCTTCACAAAACATGCCTTCCTTCCTACCAAACTGCTAATATTAGAATAAAATGAACACAATGGGCAACAGTCATAATTCCACAGGATGCTAAGAAATGGCAGAAAGGGGATTCTCAAGCTTAAGTAGTTTTATTTATTTATTTTTAACTTTTTTTTTTTTTTTTTTAAGAGACGGGGTCTTACTCTGTCAACCAGGCAGGAGTGCAGTGGTGCAATCACAGCTCACTGCAGCCTCAATCTCCTGGGTTCAGGTGATCCTCCCACCTCAGCCTCCTCAGCAGCTGGGGGTATGAGCATGAGCCCTCATACCCAGCTGTAACTAGTTTTAAAGAATAAAAATTATCTGACACATTAAAATTTCTTTCTTCCCCAAGAGATAGAAAGCAAACACTATCAGATTCCCTTTTGTAACCTCACAAGATACTCAAAAATATCACTGTCATACTGAAAGATGATAGAAAATAGTCAAACAATTCATACTTTTCTTAATATAGCATGAATATCCCTCCACTTCAGAGTGGTTACCTTGTGAAAATATATGTAACCCTGCGTAAGTTCATCTGATCCTTCTCCAGAGAAGATCACCACGCTATCTGTGTTCTTCCGAATATACTTGGAAATTAAATACATACCTTAAATGAGAGAGAGAAATTAACTTTAATGTCAACATAACCTTCCACCAAAAATGCCTTTGATTTGATTTTTGGAAATAATTGAAAGCTTTACTACTATACTGGACTTCATATTAATATAAAGTAGTTTCCACAATAATGACCTTGTATTTATAAGCCATTTATATGTACTTAATCCAAAAGTACTACTGTAAAATAAAATAACCCGGAACCATTTTGTCATTTTCTAAACAGGTTTTAAAATTCTAATGTTTTTAGACCAAGAATGTCCACCTCAAAACTTTGCTAAGCTGAACAATGACTCAAATACCTAAAAATCATGCCTTTCATAGTGGTATTATGACACAAAAATAAGAATAACCGTTTTGGTGGTTTAGTGTTAATTTTGATGGGTATTTTCCCCCTGCCACTCCCCATTTACCAGATTTCACATAAAGCTGGGGAGACTATATAAGTTATTAAACTTGCCTCCTTGGTCCTGCACCACATCTCTCTAAACCAGTGTTTCTTCTCAACCTTGTTTTTATTATCACCTCAGCTAGAGAGCCTTTTTAGACACTTATTTTCCTAACCTCACCCCAGCCCCATGAAATTCCAATACCAGAGCTATCCTGTCTATCTGCTTATTTACTGTGATGTTTTGGAGGGCCATAAACCATTGTAATACCTAAGATATTTTTGCCTTCCAAGGCAAGTCTCTCAAGGGAGGCAGTAGCATATAAAGGCTCAATAACACTGGATCAGTCTGATTTGGGGTATACTTCCAATCTCAGTAGATACATTATCTACAAGATAAAATTAGTATTGTTTGCAGAGCAATGATAGCTAGTGACTGGTAAGTTGTGTGATGGAATATATCTAAAATGACTATTTCTTATCAAAAATGCATTACCAAAAAGACCTATTTCCTCACTGTATATAGACTGTAGCCCAAGAAACTATAAGAGAAATGGGAGGTAGAGGGCAGAAAATATGTATCTGCTCCCTGGGGAAACACCAACAGTGACACCAACAATGTGGAGGTTGAACTACGTATTTACTATTCCCTTCACTCCAAAAGAGATTCAGAGAATTCTTAAGTGGTCTTAAATAATCAGTAACATAGGGATTTAATTTGCATTCATCCTTAAATAACATTTTAAAACTATGGCTTGAAATAATTTTTTTAAACCTTACATTTTTTTCAGTATTAAAAAAAGCTTTTTATTTAAGAATATCATAATACCTTACCTACTGAAGCACGAACTGTTGTAATGTCATAAGTTTCCAAGGAAAATATGACTTCATCCAGAGCCTGAATGCCTTCCTCAGAGTTAAAAAGGACTTCATAATGTTCACTTCCAATATGATCTGCCACCTTATTATATAAAGAAATACCCATTTACTTGTTAAAGAAAATAACTTCCCTTGAAAATCAAACATGATGGGAGTTCACAAAGCTTTATGAATTAACAATGGTGAAAACTAAACAAGGGAAAAAAAGAAAAATGACTTTACAGCCCACCACATACAAGCCCCATCCAGCACTGTTCCCTCGCCTGCTTCAACTCCACCACCAGGAAGTAAGTCTCCCCTCAGCTCCTCTGGTGCCAAGGCTTCAACCATTCTCCCAGTTGGCACCTCCCTCTCTACCTATTTTACCTAACCCACCTCATCTCTCTCTAGTCCAACATGGTCCCACGCTAAGCTTGGTCTTTTTTGGTCCTTCTTAAATGCCTAATTTTATATCCAGGATGTTATTCTTATATAGAATGGCCCTTCCCCTCATTCTGCTTTCCTTGGCTATTTTGGATTCTCTCGGCATTGATTACCTTGCACTGAGACTGCTCTCTAGCTTTTTCTCATCCATGCTACGAAAGTCCTCCATAGTGGGAACTAGGTCTCCCGCTCACTGAATACAGACAAGCTGCCCTCTGCCCACAGTATTCTAAATACAGTACTTTCAAAAATAATAATAACAGCTAACACTCATTAAGTACTTACTACATGCTAAGTTCTACCCTACTTACTTTACATGAATTATATCATTTCACCTTAAAATTTCCCCATAGCAGACACTATTATTTTGGTTACATAAATGAGTAGAGCCAGGATTTCAAACCACAAGTCAGGTTCCAAAGTCTGCAGTCTTAGCCATGATACTATGCCTTTACGTTTAAAAAAAAAAAAAAAAAAAAACGAACAAAAAACCCGTTTTTTTAATTTTTCAAGATGGGGTCTTGCTACGTTGCCCAGCCTGGACTTGAACTCCTGAGCTCAGACCTCCCCCCACAGCCTCCCAAGTATCTGGGACTATAGGTGTGTGCCACTGCACCTGACTTATGCCTTTACTTTCTTTTTTTTTTGAGACAAGGTCTCACTCTGTCACCCAGGCTCCCATAAGGCTAAGACTACAGGCATGCGTCACCAAGCCTGGCTAGTTTTTGTATTTTTTTGTAGAGATGGAGTTTCATTATGTTGCTCAGGCTGGTTTCAAACTCCTGACCTCAGGTAATCTACCTCCCTCAGCCTCGTAAAGTGCTGGGATTACAGGTGTAGGCCACCATGCCCAGACACCTTTACTTTCAAAAGAGCATACTTATCATCATAGGGTCTTTGTGAGAATTGCATGGGTCATAACAGATAAAAGTACACAGAGGACAGTGTACAACACAGTGCATATCCAACAGCCATTTCATTCTATTTTAATACAATCAATTTAAAACAATTGACCCAGTCAATACAGCAGCAGTAGAATCACCCATTATTGACTCCATTTTCATTCTAATAACAAGTCTACTCTAACTACACTACACAAGGGACAGAGACAGCACCTTACCTTTCTAGCAGCCAGTAAATCGGGGCTGTCTTCCATGCCAATTGCAAATGTCTGGAGAGGATACTGTACTTGGGCTTCTTTCAGCTGCTTCAACAGAGTGGCAGCAACCAAGCTGGAGTCCAAGCCCCCTACATGCAAAAGAGGAAGTGGAAGTGTCCTAGTTATGTGCCTTGCATAAGACAGGGACAGAAGATGTATATTCCTGATAAACACCAAGATCATAGTTTTACTATTTAAAATCCGCCAAGTTTTATAAACTGAAATCAACTTCAACAAGAGAAAAATATATAAACTGTGATAATAGTAGTATTTGAATTGGTTAAAAATCACTACACAGAATTCTAAAGAACATTCACTGACTCACTCTTAACACCAATAACATAGCTATAGTGTAACTCAAGTTGGAGTATGACTATGACTATTAAATACAGCTTATAAAAAATCATTTCCATCCTATAATGAAGGAAAGAGTAAATCATACAGTAAATATTTTATAGTAAAAACCAAAGGGATGGCTACAAATCATTTCAATTAAACACACATGAAATATAATTAGGTTTTTTTAATTGACTTCACCTGATAAAAGGCAGCCAATCCTTCTGTCTGTCATCAAACGTTTCTTTACAGCATTATTAAAAAGGATCCTGAGGTTGTTCTTCACAGTTTCTATCTCAAAACCTATAAACACAGCAGTAAATCAAACAGCTCCAGAAAATCTTGGGCTGGATTAGTTATTGAAATGAAATACACAATCATCAACATCTATCATGATGGTATTTACTCAATGGTGGAGTGTGCCAAATCTTAATGTGTTCCCTCCAAACAAAATAGGAAGTAGGTCTTGAAACTAAAATCATTCAAATGATGGGAGAATACAACTTAAAATTTTTTTCCCTTGGAGAAGGATGGGGAATAGGTGGGTGGGTGTCTGCTACCTGGAAAGAGTTTCTCCACATTGTCATAGAGGGCGTGCAGGGGTACATCCCGACAGTGATGATATTTAACCATTTCCACGGATGCAACTTTGCCATTTGGCTTTAAATCCAAAACTTCATAGTGTCCAGGAAGAAAAGGCTCCACTTTTAAAAAGGGAGTCGCGGAGTGCTTCAATGTAACAAGACCTAGAAATTCACAATGATACCTTTATTCAAATTAGGTAACCCTTCCCAATAACTTTCACGATTAGTTAACATCATCTACATTCCTATTTTCCCTTTTTAATACAAACACATACCCATTAAATAAGCAAAATAGGAAAAAAAATTTTCTATTTTCCTAAGCCCTACCATCTACTTACCTGAGAGACAATAATGGCACAGGGATATACTGCCAAATTACACTAACTTTTCGTAATTCAAAGAAATAGAAAAATCTCCAGTGTTCAATTTCTTCTTCTTAGATTTCTAATCAAGAAAACCTATTTTCTATACTAAAGCAAATACACAAAAGGAAAAGACACACTTATGAAGCAAAGGGATGAACTGGAGTCCTAATGTTATGATAGGCTGGGAGTCATTTATTTGTCATCACTGAGGTATTTTCAGAACACAGCCATGGTTCCCAGACCTTTAACAAGTACAATGATCCACTTTTACCTACTTTAAAGTCAGATAAGAAGACATCTATCCCTTAACTAGTTGTTATACACTATATGTGAATAAAACCATATAACTTAAATTTCCTCAATAAATTCTCACAGACAGTACAGTACCCAACCTCTCATCACCATGATCTTTGATACAAACATCAATGTTTTATTGTAGATCGTAATGGACTATCTACATGGAATACTCGTGATTTACAATTTGAGATTGTCTACCCAGCCAGTAACCTGTGTAGCACTGAATTCAAATACCAGAAAAAGGACCCAGATTCCCTCACCAGCCAGCAGAGCTCAAGTGAGCTACACAACCCGGATAGGGAATGGGGAGTAATTAAAAGGTTTTAAGCAGGCAATACTATAATCAGATGAGATTTTGACAGGTTATTCTAAAAGCACTGAGAAAAGAAAATTGTTGCAGTATTCCAGATGAGATAATTTGGTCTGGAAAAGGACAGTGTCAAGGATATAGAAAAGAACAATTAAGGAATTTCAGAGGGTAAGTTCCATATCAAGTGATCATCAGGCTCAAAGAAGGCCCAGGGGAGCAGGAGGCTGCTTTTCCCCAGTGTTCTCTTTACCAGGCTTTCCCAGCAGTCCTGGCAACTGACATATATATATGCTTGTTCTTTGCCATCTGATCACACTAGAAATGCCTGAAAATAAGCCAGTTCCAGTATTAGTACAAACACTGTGACTAGTGTCCTAAGGACCCCTTTGATTGATCTCATTATCCCTGCTTCAGCCAATATTAAATCTGAAAATTAAGTGAGAAAGAATTTAAAGAATGGCAAAAAGAGGCAGGGAGAGAGATATTAGGATGTTACTGCTGCACAGGTAAGGGATAAAAGATAAATGTCTTCCTCAAGTTTACCATCAAAAAGTGCTATGCATGATTTGCAAGTATTTTCTTCCAACTTGTGGGCCGTCTTTTCACTTTCTTGATGGTGTCCTTTGATGTGCAAAAATGTTTAATTTTGATGAAGTCCAATTCATTGATTTTTATTATTGTTGCTGGTCTCATATTTAAGAAAGCTTTGCCAAATCCAGGGTCATGACAATTTACTTCTATGTTTGCTTCTCGGGATTTTATAGTTTTAGCCCTTACATTTAAGTGGATTAGTTCAAAACTGATTCATTTGATCCTTTTTTTTTTTTTTTTTGAGATGAGTCTCGCTCTGTCACTCAGGCTGGAGTGCAGTTGCGCGATCTCGGCTTACCGCAAGCTCCGTCTCCCGGGTTCACGCCATTCTCCTGCCTCAGCCTCCTGAGTAGCTGGGACTACAGGCGCCCGCCACCACGCCCGGCTAATTTTTAGTAGAGACGGGGTTTCACTGTGTTAGCCAGGATGGTCTCGATCTCCTGACCTCGTGATCCACCCGCCTCGGCCTCCCAAAGTGCTGGGATTACAGGCATAAGCCATCGCGCCTGGCCTGATCCATTTTTCTGTATCCATAATTTTTGTATACGATGTTGGGTAAAGATTCAACTCCAAGTTTTGCATATGGTTACATATCTGGTTGCCCCTGTGCCAGTTTTCAAACTTCTTTCTCCACTGAATAATCTTGGCACCCTTGTCAAAAATAAGTTGATCATATATGTATGGGTTCATTTCTGACTCTCAATTCTATCCCACTAGTCTATACATCTATCCTTCTGTCAGTATTATATTGTCCTTATTACCATTGTCTTGTAGTAAGTTTTAAAATCAGTTAATATGAGGTCTCCTACTTTGTTCTTCATTTTCAAAAGATTGTTTTGGCTATTCTTAGTCTCTTGCAATTCCATATGAATTTGAGAGTCAGCTTGTAGATTTCACAAAGAACTCATCTGGGATTCTGATAGGGATCAAGTTAAATCTGTAAATCAGTTTAGGGAGGACTGCCATCTTAACAATGTTAAGCCTTCAAATCATGATCATGGGATACTTTTCCATTTATTTAGATCTCCTCTCATTTCTTTCAACAACATTTTATAGTTTTCAGAGTACAAGTTTTACACTTCTTAAATTTATTTCTAAGTATTTTATTCTTTTTGATGCTATTATAAATGAAGTTGCTTTCTTAATTTCATTTTGATTGCTCATTTTAAGTATGTAGTATTCAGTTAAAGTGTGTCAAATACCATTGATTTTTGTATATTCATCTTGTATCCTGCAACCCTGATGAACAGAAGGGATTTGTATCTAGAATACATAAGGAACTATTACAATTCAGTAATAAAAAGACAAAATAACTCAATTAGAAATGGGTAATTCAAGAATGGATAAACAAATTGCATTGCATGCAAACAAATGGAATATTATTCAGCAAGCACACCAACATGGCACATGTATACATATGTAACAAACCTGCACGTTATGCACATGTACCCTAGAACTTAAAGTATAATAATAATAATAATAAATGAGCTATCAAGCCATGAAAAAACACAGAAGAACTATAAATGTATACTGCTAGGTGAAAGAAGCCAGTCTGAAAAAGCTACATACTATATGATTACAACTATTATACGACATTCTGGGAAAGGCAAAGTGAGAGAGAAAGCAAAAAGATCAGTAATGACTGGGGGGTTAGGAGGAAGAGGACGGGAGGAAAGAATAAGTGGAGCACAGGAGATTTTTAGGGCAATGAAACTGTTCTACATAATACTGTAATGGTGGGTACATGGCATTAAACATTTGTCAAATCCAAAAATCTATAAAACACAAAGAGTGAACCCTTATGTAAACTATGAACTTCAGTTAATATATAAGTATCAGTTCATCAAATCTAATAAATGTAGCACAGTAATGCAAGATGTTAAGAGTGGGGAAAACTGGGCAGGGGCACTGTAGGGGGAGCATATGTGAACTCTCTGCACTTTCCTCTCAATTTTTTCTAAAACTGCTCAAAAAAAAAAATAAAGTCTATTATGTTTTTAAAATAAAATGATCCCTAACAGGAAAAAAAAATGGCAAAGGATCTGAACAAATATTTCTCCAAAGAAGATATACAAATGGCCAATAAGCATAAGATAAGATGCTGGACATCACTGTCAACAGGAAAATACAAATCAAAATCACAATGAGATACCACTTCACATACACTAGAATGGCTAGAATTAAAGTCACACACTGTTTGTGAAGATGTGGAGAAACAGAAATTTTAATACACTGCTGGAGTGAATAAAAAATGATGCAGCCATTTCAAAAATTAGTCTGGCAGTTCTTCAACTGAACATAGTTATCATGTGTCCCAGCAATTCTACTCCTAGATATACACCCAAGGGAAATGTCCACACAAAAACTTGTACACCAATGTTTATAGCAGCATTATTCATAATAGCCAAAAGGGGTAAATAATGTCCTAAATGTCCATCAACTGACAAGCGAATAAACAAAATGCAGTGTATCCATGTAATGGAATATCATTTGGCCATAAGAAGTAAGTACTGATACATGCTACGGCATAGACAAATCTTGAAAGCACTATACCAAGTGAAAGAATCCAGTCACAAAAGCCGGTATGATATATAATCCCGTTCATATGAAACATACAGAATAGGGAATCCAGAGGCAGAAAGACTGGTGATTGCCGGGGCTACAACTGCAGGGGTGCAGCTGATGGATATGGAGAGATGGAATTCAAAGCTAAAGGGCACAGGAGGCAGGGTGTTGTGGTGCATGCCTATACTCCTAGCTACTAGGGAGGCTGAGGTGGGAGAATCGCTTGAGCCCACGAGTTCAAGGCTGCACTGAGCTATCAAACCACCGCACTCCAGCCTGGGCTGGGCGACTGAGCAAGACCCCATCTCTTCAAACAAACAAACAAACAAAAACCTAGTTGATCCTGCCAGCAAAAACTAAGGTAAAGGGCATAGGATTTGATTTGGTTTTTTTTGAGGTGGAAAAACAATCCTAAAACTGATTGGAGTGTTGTTTACCAACATCTGTGAATATACTAAAAACCACTGAACTGTATACTTCAAGTGGGTGAATTACATGGTATGTGAATTATCAATAAAGCTGTTTTAGAAATCCTAACACTTGCTGTGCTATAACTGCGCAAAGTACCACAATGCAATAATTGCAGAGTCAACCCTACGATTATAGTATGACACAGGAAAACTTAAAACTGCACTTAAGATCAAGCTAGATGTAGAGCATATTAGCACAGCAAAAAATAAACGACTGCACTAAAGAATCATCCTTCAAGGATTACAGAATTTAAGTGCTGAAAAGGAGAGTACAACTCCTCTGTTTTTTTAAAAAAAGGTAAAGACTCATAACTTAGTCACTTGTAAAATTCTGGATTGCTCTCTAAGAGATTTTCAAATATAATTTAAAAGAAAACGTACAACCAAGACAATAATGAAAATCTATAGAAAAATTTATTATTACCTTTAGCTTCTGAACATACAGCCAAAAATCCATCTTCTGTCATTGCTTTAAACAAAGGTCTGACTCCATATGTATCTCTACCCAGGAACACTTTCTTATTGGCAGTATCCAGTAAAACAAATGCAAACACACCATCCAACATACAAATTGTTTGCTCAATTCCTCCTTTGTCATAAAGATGAAGGATTATCTCACCATCCACTTTGGTCTGGTATTCAAATTCAAAATGCTGTTGCATCTTAGGAAGCGAAAGCAAAACCAAAATGTTAGACTCCTTGTACATTCACTAATAATTTTTTATTGCAAAGATGCTTCAGTATTTCTGAGCTCTATAATCCTTTCATGCACTTTGGTGATTTAGGAGAATCACAGCATTATTAAACTATGGTTCGCTTCAACTCATATTCTGCAAATTCTGTTCAACATAAAGCCGAACCCATGAAAATTTTAGTTGCAGTCTGATAAACAGAACATAATGGGAATGTGCCAGAACAGTAACCTGTGGAGGGATGGAAATGTATATTATATACATACCATATATGTAATACATACATATATTTATATATATACAGATTGAGTATCCCTTATCTGAAATGTTTGGAACCAGAAGTGTTTTGTGTTTTGGACTTTGGAATATTTGCATATATGTGAGATATCTTGGGCATGAGACCCAAGTCTAAACATGAACTTCATTTATGTTTCATATATCTTATACACAAAACCTAAAGGTAATTTTATATAATATTTCAAATAATTTTGTGCATGAAACAAAGTTTGCATACATGGAACCATCAGAAAGCAAAGGGGTCACTATCTCAGCTACCATGTGGAAAATCTGTGGCTGTTTGACATCATTGACCATCATTCCTGACTCTGAATTTATTATGCTGCTGATGAGCAATCATTTTCATATGCTTATAAAATATGACATACCATTAATACAGTAAGAAAGTAATAAGTAGCATAGTAGAATCACCAGAATACCTGCATCAGCTGTTAAACAGCTGTACAAACAATGGCAGGCTTTCAGACTCCACCTACAATGCTGCGTTTTGATTAAAAGGTTACTATACACTGTATTTTTTTTTCCTTTTTCAGGTGAGAAGAAACATCAGAAGCAGCTGAGCAACTAGGAAGCGGGTCCTCTGAGATTGAAGAGGCATTCGGCCAGATGACTTTTAAATGTTTCTCCAGAGTCATCTGCTTCATTAACAATGGCTTTTGTCTTGGAAGGCTCTCTTTGATTTTATAAACTGACATGACCTCTTGTTCTGTTATGAATGCAGGTAGCTCTAGTCCTTCAATATCTCTATCACACATTTTCACCATGTCATCTATACCTTTATACTACAGTCCAGTTTCTCCTACAGCTTGACTTTCTGTGTTATAAGTGTTTCTACTTTTCCTTATCACTGCTGCTCATAGAAATATCTACAGGTCTTTTTGACATTTTCAGTATCTTAACACCACAGAGCAGAAAATAAGCAAAAATACACAATGGATAATGCACATAAGTCCCATCTGTGGGGATCCTGCCAATGGCGTATCCAGCTTGAACATGTGCCATTCTATTACCCTTTGTGGGCGTGCTTGCATGGGGAAATCCGGGCATGTGTAGAAAAGTTATACTGCAGCTGAAGCGGGCTGAGAGGGTCTTTTTTCCCTAGGGAACGCCAAATAAACTGCGTGTTTTACACCTGCATTTTGACTGTGACATCAAAATGCACATGTAATGTCATGTCAGTGCTCAAAAAGTTTCAGATTTTGGAGCATTTCAAATTTCAGATTTTCAGATTAGGGATGCTCAACCTCTAAATTTAAGTTAAGATAATAGGTTGCCTGGTTGCCATGACACTAAAAAACGTGTCTTTTGCAACTATAAACTTTTGATTTGAGAAGATAGTATTGGCTAAGAAGTTCCTCCAGTTCAGCTTCAAAGTCCTAGCTATAAAAATGTAAAGCAAAGGGACAAACATCATTTGGCATCATTCCCTGAAAAATAAATGGCTCCATCACAATAACAGATACATGATCCAAAACAAAGCTGCTGGTCCCCAGGGGTGGATGACAATGCCCAGTGCTTCCACCACTGCAGCAGCATTAAAGCTACTCCTTACTGATAGATAAAATGACGGTGGCGCTTTATTAGTCTGCATTCCCCAAAAGAACAGCAAAGGGACTGTCTGCCACTGCATGCAGAGTAAGAAGGTTTGATTAGGCTACTCCCCAATTCTGACACTCTCCACCATCAACGGCAAACTATGAGCCATTAATGGCAAACTATGAGGATGAAAAGTCCTTGATGTATTCCTCTTTCTTCTTTGTACTCGGGTTTTTGGCTGACATTAGAGAAAGAAGAGGTTTAAATCAGGTGGAAATCCTAGATAAGCTTAAAACATGCTTTCAAATTTCAAAAAGTAAACCTATTATGTATGTGCATGACCCATAAATATGCTTCACACTCCATCCAACTCACTCCATAATTTGTGAATCTTTTGTCTATAAGTCCTCACTGAACTGTCCAAAAATGGGCTTTGCCTCCAGTGACTACAAAGTCACTACCTGGTCACCCCTCTCTGCTCTATCAGGGATGATCTGTAACTAGCAGGTGGGGGCCTGTAAACAGTCTTCTGCTGACTCTTCTGGGCTGAACTGCCTGAAGGGTTAGTGACCATAAAGCATTCGGTGATATTAGTAAGCAACAGCTTCCCAAATCTACCTTACCCACCTCTTTGGCCTAAACTTTGCAGGTAACTTATTTAAAAAGGAGAAGGGTCCTTTGGGTAACGGATGTATTACTTCCTACTCTCCTAAAACCAAACTCCAATGCTGCACCTTAAATAAAAGCCCTCAAATCTTGCCTCCTGACGTCATGCTGTCATTTGACTTGGCTGCAGGCCCTGATACTCCCCTGCAGGGAGAGGGCCTGCTCTTTGCCCCAGCCTTTACCCCATTCCTCCTTTCTTTCATTCAGTCTCCTTCTACTCCCAGTACACCTCTGGCTGTATTTTATTGTAGTGGTAAACTTTATTTTTACCAAAAAGGAGGTGTGGGGGGGATTTCTGAATACTTTATATAAGCCTAAAGTATACATTCTGCTCATTAGACAGACTGCTAGCTGCCCCAACTACATAAACTTAGATGCTTGGTAGAAGCAATGGAACAAACTTCTCTACTTTTACAAATATAACATTTGGCTAATTTAGAATAGAAATTAATTATTTTCAAAATATTTAACTTCTTGTAACTTTTTAATAAAAGAAATAACACTGTTCAAGTGAAACAGGGCACTTCCTATTTCATTTAAGGGGAAAGCCAAGCTGATAATGCCATAATACCACCTAGCGTTCTCATGTATATGACATTATTTGACTTAGAAAAAATTTTTAATACTCTCTTCTTCTACCTCCCACTAGCAGGAAATTCCATTCTTGCCTTTCCTTTTCACCATTTCATCTCCAATCACCTAGAAAAATGATGTCTGGTGCATAGTAGACCCTTAATAAAGGAATAAAGAAATGTGTAAAAGGAATTTCCTGAATAACTATTTTAAAACTTTTTAAATGAGAAGACTATTATTAAGAGTCTTCCTATGAGCAGGCAACAAACAATGACAAAAGCTATTGTTCACAGATAAAAATGTCCAAAATGTGATTAGGATGTAAATCTCTATCAATGCCTGACAGGTATCTATCAAGAAGTCTCAAAAAATACCAAGAAACATACCAACCAAATGCATGAACCTTGAATGAAATCTGGCTCAAAACAAACAAGAACCAGCTATAAAGATATTCTTGGTAGCACTTTGAGAGGTCAAGGTGGGCAGATTACCTGAGCTCAGGAGTTCCAGACCACCCTGGGCAACATGGTGAAACCCTGTCTTTACTAAAATACAAAAAATTAGCTGGGCATGGTGGCAGGTGCCTGTAGTCCCAGCTACTTGGGAGGCTGAGGCAGGAGAATTGCTTGAACCTGGGAGGCAGAGGTTGCAGTAAGCCGAGATCGCACCACTGCACTCCAGCCTGGGTGACAGAATGAGACTCTGTCTCAAAATAAATAAATAAATAAAAATATTCTTGGGACACTTAGGGAAATTTCATTTAAGTATTAACTGGATATTAGGTGGTATTATGGACTCTTAGGTTTAATAATGGCATTGATGTTATGTAGAAGAATGTCCTTATTCTTAGGAGATAAATGCTTATATATTTAGGAGTGTCATAATATCTGCACTGTACTCTCAAATGATTCAGCAAAAACATGTGTGTGTGTGTGTGTGTGTGTGTAGAAAGAAAAATCAAGCAACTATGGCAAAACATTAATGACTATTTAATCTAGGTGCTTGTTGTTCTGTTCTTTACTGTATGTTAGGAATTTTTTCAAAATGAAAAGCTGGGGAGAAGGAGAAAAAATTCTAAGAGTCAATGAAACTGAACTGTAATCCCCATTTTTATCACTTTTTTTGTGACCAAGTCATTTCACTCACCTTTTTATTCATCAGTTCCCTATTTACATACTTAGAGCAAATGAGATAACGAACATAGAGTGCTTTGCAAAGGAAAAAGCATGATACAGAATATGTAACATCATCGTAACCAACAAACTCTGAAGTTTAATCGCATCCAGACATCTGGTTTCTTTCTCCTCACCTTCTTATGGTTGTAGATTTCACCATTGTAACAGAGCCACAAATACGGATATTTCTTCACTCGAATTGGCTGCATTCCAAACAGCGGGTCAACTACCGCCAACCGGTGAAATCCAAAGCAGCAGTTGGTGTATCCATTGACATTCTCAAAACGGAATGCATCTGGACCTCTGTGTGCAATCTTCATAGCACTCAGACACTGAACAGAAAGGCAATCATCACTGCCAAACAGCGCCCAAATGCCACACATGGTGCAATGAAGCTATAAGCTTTCTATGGAGAGAAAAGCAGACAAATCAAAAATATTCAATATCCAATCCAACTCTGCATTAAATCTTGATTCCGGAAACGTGCATAAACCACTTCAAAGACTAAAATTTAAACCATCTTTTCTATAGCGATTTCCCATTAGGTTGGCAGGCACATGGGAGTAGAGAATGATTTAATTTACTTACAGGTATTCGGAAAAGATAGTGACCTCTACATTCAACCGGCTACAGCAGCTTAGCACCTAGCCAAAGCCTGCATCTCTCCCACCTTAGGATTTAGTGGTTGGCTAGAGCTGACAGCGTCCATGCCACATCTGTCTCTGCATTCTAAGTTTGCTTCCAAGATACAGATACAAATGCAGGCTGGCTCCAACCTAGCCAGAGATCCTAGCCCCACTCTCACCATCCCAAAATCCCTCAAAGATCCAACAGACTTTCCAGATTACTAGAGTCTCCTCTCAGGTTCCCTTGACAGTTAAATGCCCTCTTTATCTGAACTAGCTGCAGGTACCATATAATGGGTACAACAGAAAATCATACTGCTGTAAGTGTAAAAGATACGCAGCTCTTTCAAGCATTTCACTATATTACATCTAGGTTACCTTCAAGTGATTTATTCAGATGTGATTGAAGAAAATCTAAAGGGAAAAAAAAAACAATTTAATTTGATATCAGATATCCTGGCTTTATAACAAATAAAACATTTCAAGTTAATAGAAGATACAAAATATTCACTATCAAAATGTCCTCACTGACAAAAATGTTCTCAAATATTTCTGTCTCAAAGTTGCATTGTTCAGTAAGGAAGCAAAGTAGGTGAGACATATACACCAACAACATCCCTAATAAAAAACTTAGCTCATCCCTATAAGCCCGGAAGCAAATAAATCACCCTTACATACGTTAATTACTTTCCAATTTCAAATTCTCAACTGTGAAATAAAGGGCTGTTTTATTTGGCTGCTGCCAGCTCAAAATGACACATTGCACCATGTGTGGCATTTGGGCCCTGTTTGGCAGTGATGACTGCCTTTCTGTTCAGTGTCTGAGTGCTACGAAGATTGTACACAGAGGTCCAGATACATTCCGTTTTGAGAATGTCAATGGATACACCAAAAACAAGATGTTTTAATTAAAACATCTCTAACTTGAAAAATAACTATTTTGGTGTTTTTTTTAAAAAAACTGCGAATTGCAGCAAATGCCCAAATAGTTTGGGATAAACACCCTAAGGAAAAAATATACATTCAAGTTGCATAAGTCACTTTGAGCTATTCTTTGATGATATTTCATTTATATCTAAAAGAACCAAAGGTTTAGCTGGCTTTTCCGGAAAACCAGAACCAAATAATATATGGTTAGAATGAAAATCATCTCAAGCAATTTGGAAATGAAGTACCACATGTCCTATGCTGTCTCTTCCATGCACTTGACCAAATAGCCCAAATAGCCTATAACAAATTATTTGAGATTTACTGGAAAAATTCCATAAGATTTAAATGAGATGACTACTAATAAGCCATCTGCCTTTGACTCTATATCAATTTAAAACGGGTTAGGAAAGTGCTTTGAAAATCAAGTATGGTCATCAGGGAATCAGTTACCTAAGTCTTCTTAACGCTGCTTAGTGAATCCCTGTATTAATCCTGCTATAATAAATACATTCTAACCACTAAACTGGAGGGGAAAAAGGGAGAACAAAGAGGCATGTAAAGTACACTTATTTTTTCTAGTAGGAAAAAGCCAATTAAAACTATAACCTATTATTTTTATTGGAATCAGTCTTATAGGAGGGCAAAGTTCCTACTGCCGCTACCTGTTCTCAATATTTTTCTTATTTCTTCCTAAACTTCTAGAACAGTGCTGTCCAATAAATATATATGTAAGCCACATATGTAATTTTAAATATACTAGTAGCCCCATTAAAAGAAAAAGGTGAAATTAATTTTAAATAAACTTAACTCAGTATGTCCCAAATAGTAACATTTTAACATATATGTAATCAATATAAAATATTATCGAGCAGATATTTTACACTGTTCTTCCTACTCCAACGACAAAATCCAGTGTATTTAACACAATACATCTCAGTTAGGACTAGCCAGCACTTCAAGTGCTCAACAGTTACAGGTGGCTAGCGCCTACCGAACTGGACATGGCAGTTTCAGTGCATTTAATTTCTATTCCACTTAGTGCTACTTACAACTTCACCCTCTCCCTTTACTTTTATATTAAGATCTCAGTAAGTAACCAACTACAGACAGGTTCAAGCCCTACTTTACCTCTAATTACTCTTACAGCAATGCTATGAATCATGATTTAAAATTTAAAAAAAAAAACTGCTGTTAAATTATTAGTCAAGCGCCCAGGGCAATGGACAGTAAAGAAATAATGTAGGCCACGGGCCGAGATGAAAACTGTCCTTTTTATTTAAAGCTATAACAATCATCTGAAGCCAGCCCTGCAAAATGACAGCCATTGAAAAAGGCATGCTAGTTCTTTTGCCTTTTTCTGTACTTGGTCGCCTGTGTCCCTAAACAGACCTCTTCTCGGCAGGGTTTGCTCAGCAAGTCACTTGATGAGTCTTGCAGTCTACAGAGACAGGTGGGGACTGGTGGGGATGGCGGGGTGAGAGGGGAGGAGGAGGGTGAGCGGTCCAGGTGAGGAGGGGGGCAGTTGAAGGTGAAAGCAGACACCGAGACGGTGATAAGGCCGCAGTCTCTTCCTAGATCAGGACCACGCGACACCTGACTGCGCCCTGGCCACGAGCACGATCCGACCCGTCCGCCGCAGGGACCCGGACCGCGAAAATGTCCACAGGCTTCGACGCCACATAGTAAAAAAAAGTACACATATAACATTTACAGGGGCTCAAACTGCCGCTGCCTCCTCTCCGGAGCGGTCCGGCCTGCCGGCCGCGGTTCCCTCTCGATGCTTCAGGGAACCAGGACAGAAAGGTCCTTCCGCTAGCTGTCAGGTGCGTAACAATCGCTAGGCGTCCGCCCCGCCCTCCCTACCGCAGGAGCCGCAGCATCAGCAGGCGCCCGCGAACCGCGTCTGCCGGGTGCCAGGCTGAAGACCGCATCCTCCACCCCTTCCTTCCGGAGCAGCCCCAGGGCACGCGAGGAGGATGCTGGCGCGGGGCGCAGGGCACGGGGCGCAGGACCCGGCTCACCTGGGCGTAAGCAGGTCAGGGTGATGTGGCGGGCTGAGGCCAGGGATGTGGACAGCTTGACGGGCGGCGAGGCCGCTGGCGCTTATACCGACCTGGCTCCTGTAACGCGTGCGGGAAGTTTCATCATGCCTGCGAGGACCAACCAGCGCGCACAGGGGCGGGGCCGCGGGGTGTCCGGGGCGGAGCAGGACTAAGTGGGGCGGCGGAAGGGCGCAAGGAGGAGCTCTTTTGTTTCCAGCGCCTTGCGTCTCAGTGCGCCTGTTTAAGGATAGCCTCAGAGCTCCGCCCAGGCTACCTGCTGTTCTGACAATTAGGGAGGCTTCTGAACTTGGTTTGTTCTTCGGGAAATCATCACCGTTTTTTTGTTGCACTGCCGTCTGATTTATTATGCAGTGCAGAGAAAAGCTTGTCCTAAGAAACTGATGCGTGAGGCCTAAAATGTCCTTATAAGATCTATTAATAAATCGGGGCCAGGAGCGGTGGCTCACGCCTGTAATCCCAACACTTTGGGAAGCCAAGGCAAGAGGATCACTTGAAACCAGGAGTTCAAGACCAGCCTGGGAAACACAGCGAGATCACATCTCTATAAAAATTGGTGGCACACCATGGTAGTCCCAGCAACTCAGGAGGCTGAGGCAGAAGGATAGTTTGAGCCCAGGCGTTTGAGGCTGAGGTGAGCTCAACTCCAGCCTGGGCGACAAAGGGAGACCCCCATCTCTAAAACAATAAAATCTAAATCTAATTGATACATGAAGCCAAAATACATCAGTGGTCCTTAAACATTTTAAGTACAAAGATTCCTTTTAGAATCTCAAAAAGGATTTTGTCAACTTGCCTCCACAAGATGATTATGTGCTTTTAAGTATCTCTTTGATGAAGAAAAGACATCACGATTTTTAAAAAGTATCATAACACTCTTAAATCGTATTTTACTAATTACATCAGCACCGAAATAAATTGAGAAATAGTAAAATTATATGTGCACGACCTACTAAGATCAGACTACAGTCAATGCTTGGAGAGCATGCAGGTTTGATATCCCCATACAACGCATTCCTGACTAAATCAAAAACGTCAACAATTTAAAATCCCTAAGAACAGAAGATGGAGTAGTCGCTTAGTAGTTACAGGCAAGAGCAAAGATGAGAGATGACTTGTTCTAAGGTTCATTGTTGCTGGAAAGTTTTCAGTATCAAACAGACTTTGCTGTATCCTAATTGACGTACTTTAAACCTGAGAGCAATGTGGGAAAGTAGGTCTTCTATCTACATTTTACAAATGAAAAAATAAGACTCAGAAAAGTTGAGGGATTTATCCAAACACAGCTTCACAACAGTAGAGAACTGAGTCATAATCTGTGTAAACCCAGAGCCCATTTCCCGTAGCATCTTGCCTATGTAGTGAAAGACAGGTTCCCCTGCTTGGTGTGTTACCTAGTGTGCTTCCTTGTGCTGCGTATCTCCTGCTTGTCCGTCCAGAGCTCTACACTTCTCCACCTCACTTTCTATCCTGGCTCCCTTGCCCTCCTCTTTCAGGGAGAGTGTGCAAAGGCAGACATTTCAAGGAGATGCAAAAGGTGAAATTAAAATTGCTAATGAAGTTTTGGCACCATTGTCATTGATAACATCTTATCAGGAGACAGGGTTTTGAGATCAACCGGTCTGACCAAAGTTTATTAGGTGGGAATTTTCTCTTCCTAATAAGCCTGGGAGTGCTATGGGAGACTGGAGTTTATTTCACCTCTGCAGTCTCGACCATAAGAGACAGGTACGCCCCGGGGGGCCAGTTTAGAGACCTACCCCTAGGTGCGCATTCTCTTTCTCAGGGACGTTCCATGCTGAGAAAAGGAATTCAGCGATATTTCTCCCATTTGCTTTTGAAAGAAGAGAAATATGGTTCTGTTCTGCCTGGCTCACCGGCGGTCAGAGTTTAAGGTTATCTCTCTTATTCCCTGAACAATTGCTGTTATCCTGTTCTTTTTTCAGGGTGCCCACATTTCATATTGCTCAAACACACATGCTGTATAATTTGTGTACTTAACGCAATTATTACAGGTCCTGAGACGATATACATCCTTCTCGGCTGACAGGATTAAGAGATTAAAGTAATGACAGGCATAGGAAATCACAAGGGTATTGATTAGGGAAGTGATAAGTTTAGTCCATGAAATCTTTACAATTTATGTTTAGAGATTGCAGTGAAGGCAGGCATAAGAAATTACAAAAGTATTAATTTGGGGAACTAATAAATGTCCATAAAATCTTCATAATCCACGTTCTTCTGTCATGGCTTCAGCTGGTCCCTCCGTTTGGGGTCCCTGACTTCCCGCAACACAGCACAGTGCCTGGCACAAAAGAGTTGCTCAATAAATACATCAGGATGAATAGATAAATACACGGATAGGCACTTTGAACTACAGATGAGCTTAAATACTTTGTGTTTTTCTTAGTCAAACATGTGCAATTAAGCATGTGATAAATGTTATGATGACCACACGTGTGTCTTGCCTGATGTTCTTTGCAATCACTAAATGAAGTCAATTGTGCCTGTTTTGACAGTTCTATTTTCAACCTAATGATCTGTTTATTTTAACTTCTGGCTGTTGGCTTTGTTTGGGTTTGTTAGCCTGACGAAGTGGTAGATATTGGTATTTGCTCTTTTGTTTAAATGTCACGAACTTTAAAAATGCCTTTGCTTTTGGGAAGAAACCCTAGTTAGGACACCCTAGCGGTCAGGATGATTTGGGTTCTGGTGCAGTAACGACAATCCCCAAATCTCAGTGGCTCCATGCAGTGAGGTATTTGTTTGTTTTTGAGACAGGGTCTCACTCTGTCACCCAGACTAGAGTGCAGTGGTGCAATCTCAGCTCACTGCAACCTCTGCCTCCCAGACTCAAGTGATTCTCCTGCCTCCTGAGTAGCTGGGATTACAGGCCCATGCCACCACTGTCTGGCTAATTTTTGTACTTAGTAGAGACAGGATTTCACCATGTTAGCCAGGCTGGTCTTGAACTCCTGACCTCAAATGATCCACCCGCCTTGGCCTCCCAAAGTTCTGGGATGACAGGCATGAGCCACCATGCCTGGCCACAGTGAGGCTTATTCTTGGTCACGTTGCATGTCTGGGCTGTGTTAGGGCATTGTGTGGTGGTCTGTTCATTGTGTTCACTCAGGGATCCAGGCTGACAAAAGCCCCATCTCTGCATGTGTCCTTGATCACCCTTCAGGGGAAACGGAATGTGGTGGATCATAGAGCCTCTTAACACTTCCACCTGGAGGTGACTCAAGTTGCTGCTGCTGCTCATGGTTCATTGGACAAAACGGATCACAGAGTCATGAGCAACTTCTCTGTGCTTGGAAGGGGAAACAAATTTGAATAGCCACATTGATTTTCCCTAGATATTACACAGAAGGCCTCATTTAAACACAGTTACTTATTTGTGTTTTGAAGCTAATTGTAGTCCATCAACCTTCACAGAAGACATGTGCACTTCCAAGCTATTATTAGGCAATTTTTTTTTTTTTGAGACAGAGTCTTACTCTCTTGCCCAGGCTGGAGTGCAGTGGCATGATCATGGATCGCTGCAACTTCTGCCTCCTGGGTTCAAGTGATTTTCATGCATCAGCCTCCCAAAATGCTGGGATTACAGACACCCACCACCACGCCTGGCTAAGTTTTGTATTTTTAGTAGAGATGGGGTTTCACCATGTTGGCCTGGTTGGTCTGGAACTCCTGACCTCAGGTGATCCACCTGCCTCGGCCTCCCAAAGTGCTGAGATGATAGGCATGAGCCGCCGCACCCGGCCTTGAGTATGATTTTTGATTTGGAAGGTCAGAGTTAGGGTTTTAGTCTGAGGACTGTATGATGTGAAGGTGAAAAGCAGAGCTTGGCTGTGAGTTTGCTGGTATTCCTGTGCTGCTTCTACAGCTCTTTGGCTGTGTGACCGTCACCTTTGGCAAGTTCCTTTACCTTTCTATGTGTTGGTTTCCTCATCAATAAAATGGAAAAAATAATCATAATCATAATAGCTATTGGTGTTGGGATAGCCCAGTGGTTGACACATAAGGACTCAAACATATTTTTTTTTTTTTTTTTGAGACGGAGTCTTGCTCTGTTGCCAGGCTGGAGTGCAGTGGTGCAATCTCGGCTCACTGCAACCTCTGCCTCCTGGATTCAATCGATTCTCCTGCCTCAGCCTCCTGAGTAGCTGGGATTACAGGTGCCTGCTACCACTCCCAGTTAATTTTTGTATTTTTAGTAGAGACGGGGTTTCACCATGTTGTCCAGGATGCTCTCGATCTCTTGACCTCATGATCCACCCACCTCAGCCTCCCAAAGTGCTGGGATTACAGGCATGAACCACCGTGCCCAGCTCAAAAATACTATTATTAATTTTGGGGGGCAGTTACTATATTTTGTGAAAATCAGAGTTCAGTACCTTGTAACACTGAGTTGGGATCTATCCCTGAAGGAACAGGCTTCTAAAGAGGAAGGCATCGAGAGAGGGGCAAAATTTTAGTGGACGCTGTAATGACTTTAGGTATATGGACCTGGGGCTGAGTTCTAGCTGGGGCCACCAGGTAGCAAGGTGGACTTTGCTAAATTCTATCACTTTCCTGAGCCTCAGACTCACTTGTTACAAATGGGGTTAAAGCATCCCTCTTTCAGGGCTAAGATAAAGATGATTAAGTAAGAGGGAATGAAAGCAACTTCCATCAATGGTCAAAAGTATTCATTTAACTTCTTTTTTTTTTTTTTTTTGAGATGGAGTCTCTCTCTGTTGCCCAGGTTGGAGTGCAGTGGCATGGTCCCGGGTCACTGCAACCTCCACCTCCTGGGTTCAAGTGATTCCCCTGCCTCAGCCTCCTGAGTAGCTGGGACTACAGGTGCGTGCCACCACGCCTGGCTAATTTTTGTATTTTTAGTAGAGACGGGGTTTTACCATGTTGGCCAGGATGGTCTCGATCTCCTGATATTGTGATCCACCCACCTTAGCCTCCCAAAGTGTTGGGATTACAGGCATGAGCCACCATGCCTGGCCCATTTAACTTCTATATTACTTTCCTGTTGGTGGATTTACCAGTGCAAACTGAGCAGCTTAAAACACCATCCAGTTATTATCTGTTTCCATGAGCCAAGGGTCTGGGCAGGGTTTAACTGGGTCTTCTATTTAGGGTCACAATACTGCAACCAGAGTGTCAGCTGGGGTCTCATCAGATGCTCAGTGTCCTCTTCCAAGCTTATTCAGTTTGTGGACTGAATTCAATTTCTTGCAATTGTTGAACGAAGGCCCTCAGCTCCTAGAGCTGCCACCTCCAAAGACAGTTCACAGCATGGCCATTTGTGTCTCCTTGGAGGCTAAGGGTTGAATCTCTGAAACTTCACCTTTAAAAGACTCACCTGATTAGGTCTGGCCCACCTAAGATCATCCTGCTTTGGATGAACTCAAAGTCAGCTGAGCAAATGTGCTTAACAAAGCAAGTGTGACCATAATCACATTTGCAAAATTCCTTCCCCTTGGCCAAATCACAAGCTCTGCACACACTCAAGAAGAGATGATACAGGGAGCAGATATAAGGGAGGGGTTCTCTTGGGGGCTGTCCTAGAATTCTGCCCATTACAACTTCCTTTCTCAAGGAACAGCAGGCCTGGGGAGAGATGATCACGGATGAGAGCAGCCCACAGGTTGTGAGCGCCAGGTGATGGCGTAGGATGCAGGAGGCTGCCAAGCAAGTATGAAAAGCCTTCTCTGGGCTGGGTGGAGTGGCTCACACCTGTAATCCCAACACTTTGGGAGGCCAAGGTGGGCAGATCACGAGGTCAAGAGATCGAGACTATCCTGGCCAACCAACATGGGGAAACCCCGTCTTTACTAAAAATACAAAAATTAGCTGGGAGTGGTGGCACACGTCTCTAACAACCCAGCTCCCCAAGTGAGCAATTCCTGTCCCTTTTAAGGGCTCACAACTCTAAGGGGGTCCACATGAGAGGGTCGTGATCATGAGAGAGTCGTGATCGATTGACCAAGAAGGGAGTACGTGACTGGGGCTGCATTCAGCAAACCCCATCTCTACTAAAAATAGCAAAATTCAGCAAAGTCTCAGGATAAAAATCAATGCGCAAACATCACAAGCATTCGTATACACCAATAACAAACAGAGAGCCAAATCATGAGTGAACTCCCATTCACAATTGCTTCAAAGAGAATAAAATACCTAGGAATCCAACTTACAAGGGATGTAAAGGACTTCTTCAAGGAAAACTACAAACCACTGCTCAACGAAATAAAAGAGGATACAAACAAATGGAAGAACATTCCATGCTCATGGGTAGGAAGAATCAATATTGTGAAAATGGCCATACTGCCCAAGGTAATTTATAGATTCAATGCCATCCCCATCAAGCTACCAATCACTTTCTTCACGGAATTGGAAAAAAACTACTTTAAAGTTCATATGGAACCAAAAAAGAGCCCACATTGCCAAGTCAATCCTAAGCCAAAAGAACAAAGCTGGAGGCATCACGCTACCTGACTTCAAACTATACTACAAGGCTACAGTAACCAAAACAGCATAGTACTGGTACCAAAACAGAGATATAGACCAATGGAACAGAACAGAGCCCTCAGAAATAATGCTACATTATCTACAACTATCTGATCTTTGACAAACCTGACAAAAACAAGCAGTGGGGAAAGGGTTCCCTATTTAATAAATGGTGCTGGGAAAACTGGCTAGCCATATGTAGAAAGCTGAAACTGGATCCCTTCCTTACACCTTATACAAAAATCAATTCAAGATGGATTAAAGACTTAAATGTTAGACCTAAAACCATAAAAACCCTAGAAGAAAACCTAGGCAATACCATTCAGGACATAGGCATGGGCAAGGACTTCATGTCTAAAACACCAAAAGCAATGGCAACAAAAGCCAAAATTGACAAATGGGATCTAATTAAACTCAAGAGCTTCTGCACAGCAAAAGAAACTACCATCAGAGTGAACAGGTAACCTACAGAATGGGAGAAAATTTTTGCTATCTACTCGTCTGACAAAGGGACCTATGACTTTCTTATAACCAAGAGAATATGGCAGAGGTGATGGGATGTAGTGATTATGTTAGATAGGATGTTAAGTTGTCTTGCTAGGAGGCTATCTTGCTGGCTTTGAAGATGTGAGCTGCCATGTCATGAGTGGCCAGATGGAGAGGCCCATGTGGCAGGAAGCTGAGGACAGCAGGAACCTGGGGCCCTGAGACCAGCAGCCTGCAAGGAACTGAATGCTGCCAACAACCAGATGAGAAGGGAAGCAGATCACCAGTCAAGCCTCCAGATGAGAACTGAGCCCTGGCTGACATTATGGTTGCAGCCTTGCACTGAACCCAGCTGAGTCACGCTGGATTCCTGACCCACAGAAACCACGTAGTGATAACTGTGTGCTGTCTCAAGCCACAAAGTTTGCAGTAATATTGTTGCACAGCAATAGATAACTAATATAAAAACTGTCCTACATCATGTACATTACTGAGCGAAATGTAGAACCTGGATTTAAGCTCTGATTTCAGAGTTGTGGTCTCAGTCTCCCCAGGGAGACCTGTCCTGGGAGACAGTTATGCCAGGCTGTGATGCTGTGATGATTGTTCTCTTCCTACCCAGAAGCTTTCAATAGGCATGTCAAGCATGTGACCCCAGCTACATATACCAAATGTATTTCTGACAAATGCCAGGACATCGTGAGCTTTCTTGTTTTACTGAGAGCTCCATAAAGGAAGGATCATCTCTGTCTTTTTTTTTTTTTTTAAGAGTCTCACTGTCACCCAGGCTGGAGTGTAGTGGTGTGATCTCGGCTCACTGCAGTCTCTGCCTCCTGGGCTCAAGGGATTCTCCAGCCTCAGCCTCCTGAGTAGCTGAGATCAAAGGTGTGCATCACCACACCTAGCTAATTTCATATTTTTGGTAGAGACGGGGTTTACTCATGTTCGCCAGGCAGATCTTGAATTCCTGGCCTCAAGTGATTCGCCTACCTCGGCTTCCCAAAGTGCTGGGATTACAGGCATAAGCCAATGCACCTGGCCTGTCTTTTTTATGTTACATCCATGTGAAACAGCCCAGTGGTCAGCACACAAAGGGGTCCAAATGTGAAAGGAAAGGGCGAACACAGGGGAAACCTAGGGGTGTTCAGAAATAGTTCCCAGGTCACTGCCTGTTTCAATATGTACAGTCCTGGGCCCCACGCACAAGATTCTGACTTGGCAGGTCAGAATTGGAGATGGGGAGCTACCTGGTTACGAGGGATCCCAGTGCATTTTGAGGCAGCTGGTTGTTAAGACTGCATTGTAAAAATTACCCCCCAAAGATGTGAAGGGAAACAGAAAGACATTGGCAGGCTAGAAAACAACAGAAGTAAAACATGAACAAGTTCATTCCAGAAGGAGATTCTCAAACACAGCTGCACATCAGAATCACCTGGGGAGATTTTAAAACCCCAGTGCCCGGGCTCTGCAGCCCAGATCAATTATTACAGAATCCCTTGGGGATGAAACATGGGCATCAGTATTTTTGGTTTTTGTGTGTGTGTGTGTGTGTTTTTGTTTTGTTTTGTTTTGTTTTGAGATGGAATCTTGTTCTGTCACCCAGGCTGAAGTGCAGTGGTGCGATCTCAGCTCACTGCTACCTCTGTCTCCCGGGTTCAACCCATTTTCCTACCTCAGCCTCCCAAGTAGCTGGGGTTACAGGTGTGCACCGCCACGCCTGGCTAACTTTTTGTATTTTTAATAGAGATAGGGTTTCACCATGCTGCCCAGGCAGGTCTCGAACTCCCAGCCTCAGGTGATCTGCCCACCTTGGCCTCACACAGTGCTGGGATTACAGGCATGAGCCATTGCTCCTAGCAGTATTTTTTTAATGAGGCAAAATTCACATAACATACAAGTCCCTGTATGAAACCATACACTTCAGTATCATTAAATACATTCACAATGTTAAGCAATCATCATCTCTGTCTAGTTCCAAAACATTTTCATTAACACCCCCCGCCCCCCCAAAAAATAACCCTGTATCCATCAAGCACTCTCCATCCCCTCCCCTTTCCCCCAGCTCCTGGCAACCACTTACCTGCTTTCTGCCTCTATAGATTTGCCTATTCTGGGCCTTTCACATAAATGGAATCATGTAATATATATAATAACCAAAAGGTAGCAACAACCAAGATGGCCATTTGGTTGATGAATGAACAAACAAAATGTGCTGTATCCATACAATGGAAATATTGGTGCCTACTACATGTGGATGGACCTTGGCAACATCACGCTAAGTGAGAGAGAGCCTTGGTATCGTCTCATCTCCCCAGGAGATTCCAAGGTGCAGCCAAGGTTGAGACCCACTGACAAGCAATGGATACGATTGGGTGCAGATGAAATAAGGCAGCCAGGGGCAGGAGGGACGTCTCATTGAAGATGACTGTTTGTGGATGCCTAGCAGGGGTGGGGATGAGGGATGATAACAGCAACCCCAATCCCAACACAGCGTGACCGATTTTATCTTCAGCCAGCTGATACGCCTCATGGGGTTTGGACACAGGACACCTCTGCCTCCCAGGTTCAACCGATAACACCTGCCTCAGCCTCTTAAGTAGCTGGGATTACAGGCATGTACCACCACGCCTGGCTAATTTTTATATTTTTAGTAGAAACGAGGTCTCGTCCTGTTGCCCAGGTTGGTCTCGAACTTCTGGCCTTAAATGATCCACCCACCTCAGCCTCCCAAAGTACTGGGATTACAGGCATGAGCCACAGTGGCAGCCTCCAAATTCTATTTGAAGTTTGACTTTCCCCCTCCAGAAAATCCAACCTTTTCCCAAGTCACAGTGGGACACCCCGGAGTTAATTTGAGAGAAATGTGCTTTTAAAAACAACTCCAGGCCAGGCGCAGTGGCTCACGCCTGTAATCCTAGCACTTTCGGAAGCCGAGGCTGACGGATCACGAGGTCAGGAGATCAAGACCATGCTGGCCAACATGGTGAAACCCCGTGTCTACTAAAAATACAAAAAATTAGCCGGGCATGGTGGCACATGCCTGTAAGCCCAGCTACTCGGGAGGCTGAGGCAGGAGAATCGCTTGAACCAGGGAGTCAGAGGTTGCAGTGAGCCGAGATCGCATCACTGCACTCCAGCCTGGAGACAGAGAGAGATTAAATAAATAAATAAATAAATAAATAAATAAATACCACCGATATGAACACCAAACTAGAATCACTCCATTGACTTACAGAGAGAGATTAAATAAATAAATAAATAAATACCACCGATATGAACACCAAACTAGAATCACTCCATTGACTTCCCTCCGCCAAGCAGGGGGAGTGATGGTGGTGGTGCATGAGTGTCTATTTGCATTGAGTCGTAATGGAAAATAAGGTTGTGTCACTCAAAGGAAAAACAAATCACAGCCCAGACTGGAGCTGTGGATGAAAAACATGGCTGAGTGTTGGTACAGGCTTTCCACAGCAATATTAAAACTGAAAAAATCAGCAATGAAGCTCCCAGCCACATTTCTGCCAAATGATTTGGGGGAAAACAACAGAGGCACTCCTCAACTTTTCCTTCGCTGCACAAAGTGGGTTTGGCTGGAAATGCCAAGTGTGCTTTTTGCTGGGATCTTTCAAATGGAAGCAAGCTGGGAGTCAACCTCCTGCAGCCGCAGGCCAGAAATGGGTTTAGGCCAAACTATTATAGTAACACTGGTGCACATCTAAACAGATTTAACTCCCTCACAGCAATCCAGATTAATTTAATATGCTTTCTTATTGGCATTCTGCATTTCTCATTAAAGCAAATAAACATTCATTCCTCTGTGATAAATTAGGGCAAAAAAAAAATTCATATGTCTAGGGCATAGGGAAGGAGGAGTTGTTGGCTGTTAAAAAAAATACTGCAAATGGCCTTTGAAAGTCTAGACATCTTCATCATAAACACAAACATTCCTCTTCACAAAGGGACCTCAAGTAACCTTAGGCTGGAGGGCCCACTTGGGTATGTTTTTCTTCTCATTCTTTCTTACCTTCCCTCCAGCCCACCCAACCCACATTCAGTGACCAAGTCACGTGGGTTTTACCTCCTAAATCTTTTCAGATCCGTTCACTGCTCAGCCACTCTCCTGACACCACTATAAACCAAGCCACCATCACCTCCAGCTGTTTGACTGCAAATGCCTCCTCACTGGCCTCTGTCTTCCCCTGGCCCTGTGACAATCTGCACTCTTCACAGGGACCAAAGCGATCACTTCAGAAGGTGCATCCAAACCGATCACTCGCTTTCAATGGCTCCCTCTGCTGTGTCGGTTAACAATGATAAAAGCTCGGCCGGGCGCGGTGGCTCACGCCTGTAATCCCAGCACTTTGGGAGGCCGAGGCGGTCGGATCATGACGTTAGGAGATCCAGACCATTCTCCCTAACACGTTGAAACCCCGTCTCTACTAAAAATACAAAAAAATTAGCCGGGCGTGGTGGCGGGCGCCTGTAGTCGCAGCTACTTGGGAGACTGAGGCAGGAGAATGGCGTGAACGCGGGAGGTGGAGCTTGCAGTGAGCCGAGATCGCGCCACTGCACTCCGGCCTGGGCGACAGAGTGAGACTCCATCTCAAAAAAAAAAAAAAAAAAAAATTATAAAAGGTCACCTTTACTGAGCACACACTATCTCATTCCATCCCTACATCAGCCCTTTATTTCACCAGTGGGGAAGCTGGGACACAGAGTAGTTAGGTGGAATGCCCAAGGTGGGACCACTCGTGTGAAGTTTCCACACACTAATGTGAGACCCTCCATGACCTAGCCCCTCTCTTTCTCCAGCCTCATTTCCTGATTCTCTCGCTTGCCCTGAAGCCTTCAGCCACACAAACTTCTTGAAAGTCCCTTAAATCTGGCTGAGCGCAGTGGCTCACGCCTGTAATCTCAGCACTTTGGGAAGCTGAGGCGGCTGGATCACCTGAGATCACGAGTTCGAGATCAGCCTGGTCAACATGGTGGAACCCCATCTCTACTAAATATCCCAAAATTAGCCAGGTGTGGTGGATGGCACCTGTAATCCCAGCTACTCGGGAGACTGAGGCAGGAAAATCGCTTGAACTCGGGAGGCAGAGGTTGCCGTGAGCCAAGGTCGCACCACTCCACCCAAGCCTGGGCGTCAAGAGTGAAAGTCCGTCTCCAAAAAAAAGTCCCTTAAATCTGCTCTATGCCTATCAACCTCAGGGACTTCACTACGCTGTTTCTCACCCTGAAATGCTGTTCCTCATTTCTCTACATAGTGAACTCATCCCACCCCCTAGGCCTCTCCTTAGGTCATCTCTTCAAGGAAGATTTTACTTTTTTAATATAACTATTAAAATATAATTCAGGTACCGTATGATTTGCCCATTTAAAGTGAACAAATCAATGGTTTCAGTGCATTCACAGAGCTCGGCAACCACCATCATGATCAATTTTAAAACATTTTCATCACCCCAAAAAGAAACGCTGTATCCATGAGCAGTTTCCTGCCATTTCCTCCTCCCACTAAGCCCTGACAATCTACTTTTTTTGAGATAGAGTCTCTGTCACAGGCTGGAGTGCAGTGGCACAATCTCGGCTCACTGCAACCTCCGCCTCCCGGGTTCAAGCAATTCTCCTGCCTCCCGAGTAGCTGGGATTACAGGGATGTGTCACCACGCCCATCTAATTTTGTATTTTTAGTAGAGACAGGGTTTCTGTCTTCATAGATTTGCGTGTTCTGGACATTTCATATAAATGACATCTTAGAATATGTGACCTTTTGTGACTGGTTTCTTCCACTTAGCTTAATATTCTCATAGTTCATCCGTGTTGTAGCACGTGTTAGTACTTCATTCCTTTTGATGACTGAATAATATTCCATTGCATAGTCAAACCATGTTCTATTTCTCCACTCATCAGTAGACAAGCATTTGTGTTGTTTTCACTTTGGCGCTATTATGAATAATGCTGCTATGAGCATTTGTGTACAAGTTTCTGGACGGACATATATTTTCATTTCTTTCATAAACTGGAGTGGAAGTGGTGGGTCATAGAACTCTGTGTTTAATCTTTGGAAGAAGTGCCAGACTGTGTAAGAAAGAAAGCCTTTCCTCACCCTGTGAGACTGAGCTCCCTCTCTCCATTTATACATTCTCTTTAAGCCCTTTGCTTCTCTTTCAGAGCAATTCACATTGACCTGGGTCACCCTCAACTTAAGGCTCATAACTCCCCTAGATCCTCAGGGTCCACACTAAATGTGATGAAATATGATGCAAGCCACATATTTACTTTTGCATTTTGTAGTAACCACATTTTAAAAAGTAAAACAAAAGAAGTGAACGTAATTGGAATAATATCACAGATTTAAACAAATCTATCCAAAATACCAGGTCAACATGTATAAAATATTTTAACAATAACAAAATACTTTGCTTTCTTTTTATATTAAGTCTTCACAATCTAATGTGTATTTGACACTTCTCGCACATTTCAGAATGATGGCAGCAGCCCATATGGGGGGCCCGCCCATGATGCCAATGATGGGCTCTCCTCCTCCTGGGATGATGCCAGTGGGACCTGCTCCTGGAATGAGGCCGCCCATGGGAGGCCACATGCCCATGATGCCTGGGTGCCCAATGATGAGACCTCCTGCCCGTCTCATGATGGTGCCCAGTCAGCCCAGAATGACTCAACCAGACAGATAAGGATAGAGGGGAGGCCTCATTGCATCAGTGTTGTTTTGTTGTTGTTACTGTTGTGTTTTTTTTGTTTGTAATGTTTTGTTTTGTTTTTGAGACAGCGTCTTCCTCTGTCGCCCAGGCTGGAGGGCAGTGGCATGATCTCAGCTCACTGAAACCTCCACCTCCCGGGTTCAAGCGATTCCCCTGCCTCAGCCTCCTGAGTAGTGTGGGACTACAGGCGTGTGCACCATGCCCGGCTAATTTTTTTTTATTTTAGTAGAAACGGGGTTTCACCATGTTGGCCAGGACGGTCTCAATCTCCTGACCTCGTGACCCGCTCGCCTCAGCCTCCGAAAGTGCTGGGATTACAGGTGTGAGCCACTGCGCCTGGCCTATATGAATTTTATATTTACCTGCTCCCTTCACCAGGAGATCATGCTGCTGTGATATCGGGTTTTCTTAACAGCATAAGGAAGACTTGCCCCCTTGCCCTATCAAAGAGAATAGTTTTGGAGGGGAGAAGTGGGGCCAAAAAAGATGCAGTTTTCATTTGTATAGGGAAATGTGAAAATAAAATTGCCAACTCCTTTAGTTAAAAACAAAAAAAAAAGAAAAGAAAACAAGACGTGGGGCTGCCAAATGCAATACTGTGGATTCCACGGATCTTCTACTCTGGAGGCTAATATTATCTTTGCTGAAGCCAGACCAACCTGACACAAAGACCTTTTGGTTTTTTAATGTGACTGTGTTTTATTTTAGAATGTGTAATTCACTTTAGAAGGGCAAAGTACCTGTCTGGGGAAGACTATTTAATTTCCTGAATTTATTTAGAACGTTGGCTGATGTTATTATGAAGGAAAACAGCTCTAACAACTGAGTGCCCCCCACATAGACACAGCTCATGAGTTCACAGGGCAAAGGAATTGAACAGCAGCCTCCTAATAGCCGGCCATCTTTGTGATGTGGAAATAATTATCAGCATGTAAAAGTCTATATATATATTCAACAATTCTGACCCCCTGCAAAATTCAAATCTACAACTGATTTGCTTCCTGGGCTCCTGAAAACAACTTTGTCAAAATTGTTCAGAAATATAATCAGCCAATCGTTGCCCCTTGGGGACGCAGGATAAAGCAAGTCATCCATGACCAATGTGGAGTCGGCCGTGCACAATTACATGCAGACCTGCAGGACATCGAGTCCCTGCTATGGTCCCTCCCCAGTCAGGCCCCCATTGCCTGGGCTGCAGCCAGAAGCATTCAGGCACAAGTGCATTCAACCAATACTTACTTAATTGTATTGGTGGTTAGAGGGTTGCGATTGATTAAGGTACATTAATGGATGCATGTCCTCCCTGTATCCAAGACTCTGTCATTTGTCTCTGCAGTTCCTCCCACTGAAGAATCGGAGTATATTTCTCCAGTCCCTAATGTTGAGTTTTGAATTGTGTCTAGCTTTGGCCACTGGAATATTAATCTGTATGACCAAAAACTTGGAAAGTGTGCATTCAATTGTGCTCGCTCACTCCTGCTATCACCATGAGAACAAGCCCAGGCCAGACTGCTGCTTCCAGCAGAAGATAAGAGACACCAAGAGCAAAGTCGAGCTTCCCAGACATGCTCATGCTAGATTGACCAATCCTCAGCTGACCCATAGATCCATGAAAATAAACGATTGTTGTATTAAGCCACTGAGATTTGGAGTGACTTGTTATGCAGCATTTTGTGACAACAACTAACTGATACAAGGGTCACCATCCTTTATCTCTGTAGATTTTAACCAATTTTTAATAGCTAGATGGAGATCTTCTAGTTGCCTTTATTTATAATGAATATGACTGTAGAGCTTGTTTGGCCTGACACTACCAGTAACCTATCCAGAAATTCAGAAATACTTTCTTCTCCAACCCGCCCCAACCAACCTTTTGTTTGTTTGTTTGTTTTTGGGTTCTCCCTCTTTGCCTAGGCTAGAGTACAAATGGTACAGTCAGAGCTCACTGTAACCTCAAAATCCTGGGCTCAAGTGATCTTACCCTTCAGCCTCCTATGTAGCTAAGACTACAGACATGTGCCACCATGCCTGGCTAATTTTTTTATTCTTTGCAGAGAGAGGGTCTCACTATATTGCCCAAGTTGGTTTCAAACTCCTGGCCTCAAGCAGTCCTCCTGCCTCACCCTTCCAAAGTGCTAGGATTATAGGCATGAGCCACCACACCCAGCCTCTTATTCTTTTTAAATAGAAACCTTATTTTATTCTGACAGTGGGTTGCTTTCTTTTTTTTTTTTTTTTTTAAGAAAAAGTTGGCCCAGCCCCAGGGAATAAATTTTGACTGCTCTAAACAGGGTTGGCCAACTATAGACCAAGGGCCAAATCTGGCCCTCTGACTGTATAAATTAAGTTTTACTGGAATAAAACCAGGTCCATTGATTTATCCATTGTCTACATAAGCTTTTAGGCTACGATGGCACCACTGTGTCACTACGACAGAGGTTATCTAGACCAAAAGCCTAAAATATTACCGTTTGCATCTTTATGGAAAAAGTTTGCCATTCCCTAGTCTAAGGTTTAGATTCTGAGCTTATCATTTTAGCCTAACCCCCCTTACCAGTGACTGGCTAAAAACAAGTCTGTGATTCCATTCTGACTGTTCTACTGAGGGAATTCCCCCTTCTTCTCATGCAGAGCTGATGAGGGTTAGTTGTATTAATAGGACATACACTCAGGTTTTCTGAAAAATACTTTTATCTAGAAATGCATAGGAATATGCTGGTGCCTGAATGTACCATCTGGGGGCCTGGAGATTGACTCATCTGCCTCCAGAGCTAGTGCTCACACTTACTACTGAGAGGCCTGAGGAAATGCCTGCCTACCCACCACCAGAACCTGCATATGTCACCTGGAGAACTAGAGATCAGCCTGCCACGCACACCACCCAGGAGCCCAGTGGTGCACCTGCCCACTTGGCCCAGTGCTGCCACTGCCAGCAACCAAAGGAGCCACCTGGAGGCCCAGGGATTGGCCCACGCAGACAGGCTATCATCAGTGCCCACAAACACTGCCCACAGTCCCTAGTATTGACACACCTGGTCCACCACCGCTACCACTGATGCTGAAGGACAAGACTTCCTGGCATCCCCATCCTCAGCAAAGCCTCACCACAGCCTCCAATAACAACTACAGTCTGGCCAAGTGTGGTGGCTCACGCCTGTAATCCCAGCACTTTGAGAGGCCGAGGCGGGTAGATCACGAGGTCAGGAGTTCGAGAGCAGCCTGGCCAACATAGTGAAACCCCATCTCTACTAAAAATACAAAAATTAGCTGCGCATGGTTGTACGTGCCTATAGTCCCAGCTACTCAGGAGGCTGAGGCAGGAGAATTGCTTGAACCCGGGAGGCAGAGGTTGCGGTGAGCTGAGATTGTGCCACTGCACTCCAGCCTGGTGACAGAGCTAGACTCCATCTCAACAACCACAAAAAAAAACACTGCAGTCTAAGCCACTGAATGACTCACAGGCACCACTCATGCCAATTACAGCTGAAGGAATCATATGCAGACTATACCACTGTACCCACCCAGAATCAAAGCCAAAGTGTGATATCCAATGAACACTGTAGATACAGCTATAAGAAAAGGTCTTTCCCATATAAAAGCCAATCCATAAAATTGGAAGAAATGACTGTTATGTCAGAGGCACAGATAGTCACATAAGGATGCAAGAAATATGAAAAAGGAAACATAACATCTCCAAAGAAGCACAATAATTCTCCAGCAACAGATCCAATGAAAAGAAAATCTATGAAATGCCTGAAAAAAATTCAGAATAATGTTATTAAAGAAACTCAGGGAGATACAAGAGAACACAGATAATGAATACAAAAAAAAAAAAAAAAAAAAAAAACCAAACAGGAAAACAATTCAGTATCTGAACGACAAATTCAACAGAGATAGACAGCATAACAAAGAACCAAACACAAATCCTGGAAGAGAATAAATCATTGAAATAAATACAAAAGATAATTGACAGCTTTAACAATAGACTAGATCAAGCAAAACAAAGAATTTCTGAACCTGAAGACTAGTCTTTTAAAATAATCCAGTCAGACAAAAAGAAAGAAAAAAGAATGAAGCAAGGCTACATGACATATGGGACACATATGTCACCAAAAACTGAAATTCTGGGAGTTCTGGATGGAGATGAGATGGGTAAAGGCATAGAAAACCTATTTAATAAAATAATAACTGAAAACTTCCTGAATGCTTCCAAATGCAGGAAGCTCAAAGATTACCAAATAAATACAACTCAAAAAGGTCTTCTCCAAGGCACATTATTGTAAAATTGTCAAAAGACAAAGAGAAAATGCTAAAAACAGCAAGAGAAAGGCATCAAGTCACTTATAAGAGAATCTCCATCAGGCTAACAGGGGATTTCTCAGCAGAAACCTTACAGGCTAGGAGAAAAGGGGATGTATACTACAAGTAAAATAAAAATAAAAAAATGTAAGCCAAAAATACTATATCCAGCAAAGCTATCCTTCACAAATGAAGAAGCCTGGCACAGTGGCTCACATCTGCAATTCCAGAGACTCAAAAGGCTGAGGCAGGAGGACCATTTGATCCCAGGAGTTCAAGGCTGCAGTGAGCTATGATCATGCCACTGTACTCCAGCCTGGGTGGCAGAGTGAGACTCCATTGCTAAAAAAAAAATAGTAATAATAAAAGAGAAAAAAGTATTTCCCAGATAAGCAAAAGACTGTTTGTTTGTGTCTTGTTTGTTGTGGTCCTACAAGAAATGTTTAAGGGAGTCCTACATTGGGAAGCAAAAGAACAATATCTACCATCATGAAAATACATGAAAGTATAAAACTCACTAGTAGTTCAGACACACAAAGAAGAAAGGATTCAAACATCACCACTAAAGAAACCCACCAAACTGCAACCATAAATAATGAGAGAAAAAAGGAACAAAGGTGTATTAGTCTGTTTTCACACTGCTGATAAAGACATACCTGACTGAGACTGGGCAATTTACAAAAGAAAGAGGTTTAATGGACTTACACTTCCACATAGCTGAGGAAGCCTAAGAATCACGTTGGAAGGCAAGAAGAAGCAAGTCATGTCTCACATGGATGGCAGCAATCAAAGATAGAGCTTCTGCAGAGAAACTACCCTTTTCAAAACCATCACACCTTGTGAGACGTATTCACTATCATGAGAACAGCATGGGAAAGACCTGCCCCCATGACTCAATTACTTCCCACCAGGTCCCTCCCACAACATGTGGGAATTCAAGATGAGACTTGGGTGGGGACACAACCAAACTGTATCATTCTGCCCCTGGCCCTTCCCAAATCTCATATCCTCACATTTCAAAACCAATCATGCCTTCCCAACAGTCCCCCAAAGTCTTAACTAAGTTCAGCATTAACTCAAAAGTCCACAGTCCAAAGTCTCATGTGAGACAAGGCAAATCCCTTCTGCCTATGAGCATGTAAAATCAAAAACAAGTTAGTTACTTCCTAGATACAATGGGGGTATAGGCATTGGGTAAACACAGTCATTCCAAATGGCAGAAAATTGTCAAAACAAAGGGGCTACAGGACCCATGCAAGCCCAAAATCCAGTGGGGCAGTCAAATCTCAAAGCTCCAAAATGATCTCCTTTGATTCCATGTCTCACATGCAGGTCATGCTGATGTAAGAGGTGGGCTCCCATGGCCTTGGGAGAAAAAAGGCCACAGCTCCACTCCTGTGGGTTTAAACCCCCTCCTGGCTCCTTTCACGGGTTGGCATTGAGTGTCTGCAGCTTTTCCAGGCACACAGTGCAAGCTGTCAGTGAATCCACCATTCCGAGGTCTGGAGGATGGTGGCCCTCTTCTCACAGCTCCACTAGGTGGCGCTGCAGTAGGGACTCTATGTGGGGGCTCCGACCCCACATTTCCCTTCTGCACTGCCCTAGTAGAGGTTCTCCATGAGTGCCCTGCCCCTGCAGCAAACTCCTGCCTGGATATCTAGGCATTTCCATACACCTTCTGAAATCTAGGCAGCAGTTCCCAAACCTCAATTTTTGACTTCTGTGCACCCACAGGCTCAACACTATGTGGAAGCTGCTAAGGCTTGGGGCTTGCACCCTCTGAAGCCATAGCCCACGTTGTACCTTGGCTCCTTTTAGCTGCAGCTGGAGTGGCTAGGACTCAGGCACCCTAGGCTGCTCACAACATGGGTCCCTGGGTCCAGGCCACAAAACCATCTTTTCTTCCTAGGCCTCTGGACCTTTGATGGGAGGGGCTGCCATGAAGACCTGTGACATGCCCTGGAGACATTTTCCCCATTGTCTTGGGGATTCACATTTGACTCTAGTTACTTAAAGAAACTTCTGCAGCCAGATCGAATTTTTCTTGAGAAAATGGGATTTTCTTTTCTATTGCATTGTCAGGCTGCAGATTTTCCAAACTTTCATGCTCTGCTTCCCTTATAAAACTGAAGGCCTTTAACAGCACCCAAGTCATCTCTTGAATGCTTTGCTGCTTAGAAATTTCTTCTATCAGATACCCTAAATCTCAAGTTCAAATACCCTATCAGATACCCTAAATCTCTCAAGTTCAAAATTCCACAAATCTCTACAGCAGGGGCAAAAAGCCACCAGTCTCTTTGCTAAAACATAACAGGAGTCACCATTGTGCCAGTTCCTAACAAGTTCCTCATTTCCATCTGAGACAACCTAAGCCTAGACTTTATTGTCCATATAACCATCAGCATTTTGGGCAAGTCTCTAGGAAATCTCTTCCAAATTTTCCCACATTTTCCTGTCTCCTTCTGAGCCCTCCAAACTGTTCCAGCCTCTGCCTGTTTCCCAGTTCCAAAGTCACTTCCACATATTCAGGTATCTTTTAGCAACACCCCACTTCTGGTACTAATTTACTGTATTAGTCCATTTTCACACAGCTGATAAAGACACATTCAAGACTGGGAAATTTACAAAAGAAAGAGGTTTAATGGACTTACAGTTCTACATTGCTGGGGAGGCTTCAAAATCATTGCGGAAGTCAAGGAGAGGCAAGTCACATCTTACAGGGATGGCAGCAGGCAAAGAGAGAGCTTGAGCAGGGAAACTCCTCCTTTTAAAACCATCAGATCTCATGAGACTTATTCACTATTAAAAGAATAGCATGGGAAATACCTGCCTCCATGATTCAACTACTTCCCACTGGATCCCTCCCACAACACATGGGAATTCAAGATGAGATCTGAGTGGGGACACAGCCAAACCATATCAAAAGGATATACAAAATAACCAGAAAACAATGAACAAAATGACAGGAATAAGTCCTCACCTATCAATAATAACTTCGAATATGGGTTAAATTACCTACCTAAAAGATAGAGACAGGCTTAATGGATAAAAAATGACCCAACAACGTCTACAAGAAACTCACTTCACTTGTAAAGACACACACAGACTGAAAGTGAAGGGATGGAAAAAGATATACCACACAAACAGAAATCAAAAATAATCAGGAGTAGCTAAACTTACATCAGATAAAACAGACTTTAAGTCAAAAACTGTAAAAAGGACAAAGAAGGTCATTATATGGTAATAAAGGGATCAATTCAGCAACAAAGTATAACAATTCCAAATATGCATGCAACCAACACAAGCACATCCAGAGACATAGAGCAAATATTATTAAATCTACATGGAGAGATAGAGTCCAATACAATGATAGTTGAGAACTTCAATATCCTACTCTCAGCATTGGACAGTTCATCTAGACATAAAATCAACAAAGAAACATTGATTTAAGCTGCACTTTAGACCAAATGGACCTAACAGATATTTTCAGAATATTTCATCCAGCAGCAGCAGAATATACAATCATCTCATCAACACATGGAACATTCTCCAGGATAGACCATATGTTAGGACACAGAACAAGGCTCAATAAAATTTTAAAAATTAAAATCATATCAAGTATCTTCTCAGACCACAATGGAATAAAACTTGAAATCAATAAGAAGAAGAAATTTGGAAACTGTACAAATACATGGACATTAAACATGCTATTGAATAATCATTGGGTCAATGAAGAAATTAAGATGGACATCAAAAATTTTTTTTAAACAGAAAATGGAAACACATCATGCAAAACCTATGGGATACAACAAAAGCAGTACTAGGAGAAAAGTTTATATCAATAAATGCCTACACCAAAAAAGTAGAAAGATTTCAAATAAACGACCTAATGATGCACCTCAAGGAACTCAAAATGCAAGAACAAATCAAACACACAATTAGTAGAAAGAAAAAATATAAATAACATAGCAGAACCAAATGCAACAGAGACAAAAAAGAAATGCAAAGAATCAACAAGATAAAAGTTGGTTTTTTGAAAAGTTAAACAAAATTGATAAACCACTAGTGAGGCTAACCAAAAAAAAAAAAAAAAAAAAAAAAGACCCAAATAAATACAATCAGAAATGAAAAAGGAGACATTACAACTGTTACCAAAGAAATAAAAAGGATCATTAGAGGCTATTATGAACAACCATAGGCTAACAAATTGGAAAACCTAGAGGAAAGGGATAAATTCCCAGACATACACAGCCTACCAAGATTGAACTAGGAAGAAACAGAAAACCTGAACTGACCCAAAATGAATAGCAGGTTTGACTCAGTAACATAAAGTCTCCCAAAAGAGAAAAGCCCTAGACTAGGCTTTTATGCTGATTTCTACCCAATTTATAAAGAAAAACAAACACCAATTCTTCTCAAACTATTCCCAAAAATTGAAGAGGAAGGAATTCTTCCTAACTCATTGTATAAGGCCAGCATTACCCTGATATCCAATCAAGACAAGGACGCAACAAAAGGAGAAAACTACAGGCCAATATTCCTAATGAACATAGATGGTAAAATTCTCAGCATAATACTACCAAGCCAAATCTAATGAGGAATGAAAAAGATAATATACCATGATCAAGTGGGATTTATCCCAGGAATGCAAAGATGGCTCAACATACACAAATCAATACATGTGATACATCACATCAACAAGATGAAAGGCAAAAACTATCTGATCATCTCAGCAGATGCAGAAAAATCACTCAGTAAAACTTACCATTCCTTCATGATGAAAACTCTCAACAAATTATGCATACAAGGAACACTTCAACCTAAGAAAAGGCATATGTGACAAATCTACAGCTAACATCCTACTCACTGGGAAAAATTGAAAAGCCTTTCCTCTAAGAACTGGAACAAGACAAGGATGTCCACTTTCACCACTCTTATTCAACACAGTATGGGACATCCAAGCCAGAGTGATCAGACAAGATAAAGAAATAAAAGGCATCCAAATGGACAAAAGGAGGTCAAATTGTCTCACTTTGCAAATGACATAATCTTATACCTGTAAACAGAAAAACCTAAAGACTCTACCAAAAAACTCTTAAAATAAATTAGGCTGGGCATGGTAGCTCATGCCTGTAATCCCAGCACTTTGGGAGGCCAAGGTGGACGGATCACCTGAGGTTGGGAGTTTGAGACCAGCGTGGCCAACATGGTGAAACCCTGTCTCTACCAAAAATACAATTAGCCAGGCATGGTGGTAGGTGCCTGTAATCCCAGCTACTTGGGAGGCTGAAGCAGGAGAATCGCTTGAACCCGAGAGGTGGAGGTTGCAGTGAGCCAAGATTGCACTACCGCACTCCAGCCTGGAAAACAGAGTGAGACTCTCTCAAAAAATAAAAAATAAAAAACATTTTTAAAAACGGATGTATAATTCAGTAAAGCTTCAGGACACAAAATCAACATACAAAAATCAGTAATGTTTCTATATACCAGTAACAAACTAGCTAAAATAGAAATCAAGGAAGAAATTCTATTTACAATAGCTACAAAAATAAAATACCTAGGAATAAACTTAACCAAGGATGAGGAAAAAAAAAAAAACAAAAAACCTCTACAATGAAAACCACAAAACGCTGATAAAATAAATTGAGAAGGACACAAACAAATGGAAAGGCATCTTATGCTTGTGGGTTGGAATAACTAATACTGTTAAAATGACCATACTACCTGAAGCAATCTAGAGATTCAGTATAATCCCTATTAATTATATTCTTCACAGAAACAGGAAAAAAATACCCTGAAATTCATATGGAACCACAGAAGACCCCAAATAGCCAGAGCAATACTGAGCAAAAAGAACAAAGCTAGAAGCCTCACACTACCTGATTTAAAAATATACTGCAAAGAGGCCGGGCGAGGTGGCTCAAGCCTATATCCCAGCACTTTGGGAGGCCAAGGCGGGTGGATCACAAGGTCAGGAGATCGAGACCATCCTGGCTAACACGGTGAAACCCCGTCTCTACTAAAAAAAAAAAAACAAAAAATTAGCCAGGCGTGGTGGTGGGCATCTGTAGTCCCAGCAGCTACTCAGGAGGCTGAGGCAGGAGAATGGCATGAACCCGGGAGGAAGAGCTTGCAGTGAGCAGAGATCACGCCACTGCACTCCAGCCTCGGCGACAGAGCAAGACTCCATCTCAAAAAGAAAAAAAAAAAAACCACATATATATATGTATATATATATATATGTGTATATATACGTATATATGTATATGTGTGTGTGTATATATATATGTATATATGTGTATATATATACACACACACACACACACACACACACACACATATATATATATATATATATATATATATACTGCAAAGCTATAGTAACCAAAACAGCGTGTATTGGTATTAAAACAGACACAAAAACAAAGGAAACAGACTAAAGAATCCAGAAATGAATCCACATATTTACAGCTAACTGATTTTCAAGAAAGCTGTCAAGAACATACATTGAATAAAGGACACCCCACCCTCTTCATTAAATGGTGCCAGGAAAACTAGATATCCAAACAGAGAAGAATAAAACTAGACCCTTATCTCTCATCACTTACAAAAATAAACTCAAAATCAATTAAAGACTTAAATGTAACAGCCACAACTATAAAACTACTAGAAATAAACACAGGAGAAACTCTTGAGAACAAAGATTGTATCGCTAACACTTAAAAGTACAAGCAACAAAAACAGACAAATGGGATTATATTAAACTAAATACCTTCTGCGTATCAAAGAAAACAATCAACAGAGTGAAAAGACAACACCCCTCCCTTACACCATACACAAAAATTAACTCAAGATGGCCTACAGACTTAAATGTAAAACCCATAACTATAAAAACGCTGAAGACAACCTAGGCAATACCATCCGGTACGTAGTGATGGGCAAAGAGTTCATGGTGAAGATGCCAAACGCAATTGCCACAAAAGCAAAAATTGACAAATGGGATCTAATTAAATGAAAGAGCTTCTGCACAACAAAAGAAACTATCAAAAAATAAACAGACATTTCTCAAAAGAAAATATACAAATCACCAAGTTTATGAAAAAATATTCAACATCACTAATCATCACGGAAATGCAAATCAAAACCACAATGAGATATCATCACACACTTGTTAGAATGGGTATTAAAAAGACAAAGCACAACAAATGCTGGCAAGCATGTGAAGAAAAGAAAATTATTGTATATTGTTGGTGGGAATGTAAATTAGTACAGCCATTATGAAAAAAAGTACAGAGATTTCTCAAAAAACTAAGAACAGATCTACCATATGATGCAGCAATCCCACTCCTGGGTATATATCCAAAAAAAGATATCAGTGTATCAACGGGATATCTGTACCCCCATATTTACTGCAGCACTATTTACAATAGCCAAGATATGGAATCAATCTAAGTGTCAATCAATGGATGAATGGATAAAGAAAATGGGAATATACACACAATAGAATAGTATTCAGCCATAAAAAAGAATGAAATCCTGTCATTTTCAGCTGTCATTGCAGTCCAGGCTGGAGTGCAGTGTCACAATCATAGTTCACTGCAGCCTCAAATTACTCCTGGCCTCAATCCATCCTCCCATCTCAGCCTTCAGAGTAGCTGAGACTACAGGCGCATGCCACCAAGCGCGGATACTTTTTTTTTTCTTCTTTTTGGAGAGAGTCTCACTCTGTTGCCCAGGCTGGAGTGCAATGGTGCAATCTTGGCTCACTGCAACCTCTGTCTCCCGCGTTCAAGTGATTCTCATGCCTCAGCCTCCTGAGTAGCTAGGATTACAGGCATGCACCACCACACCAGGCTAATTTTGCTCTTTCATTGTTGTTTCTTGTTTGTTTTTCACAAATAGGACTTCTTATTTGCTACTGTTTTAAGTCTGAACTTTAAACAGATTCTTGGACTGGTGGTTCATATCCATCAGCTCATTCAACTTTAGCATGTGTCTCGTCCCTAGTGGGTTTTCCAGAACTACTACCTTCACCACGAAGCTCCATGCCTTTCAAATCCAGGGTTCTCCAGCATTTTTACTTTTCTAATGAAGACATCATGGAGAGGATAAATTGGCAAGCCTTTTCTATATCTTTTCCAATGTTGTCTGGAATCAATTTATTGACCACTTCTTTCAAGTCATTTGTCTGCATCTCTCAGGTCATGATTCCCATCATCTTCTTCTGGATTTGGCAGACTGATGGTGCTGAGCATAAGAGGTCTTCAGTATCTGATTGTTGTGTTTTTTAGTAAAACCAACACAAAACAGATGAAAGAAGTAACCATCGGTAGTCTTGACATCAACATGAGCTTCAATCATTGTTGAACATTTTTCAACCATGGAACATATTTTGTCACAGGTAAGATCCATGCCATAGAAGTTAGTCAGGCAGTTTTTGTCCTGAACATCTTCAGTAATCAGCTTGAATTTTCTAAATGCAACTTCATCATTCTGCAAGTCAGCAAGACTCACTTCAAACACAAGACCCTTGAGACCATCAGATGCAATTTGGGTTCCTTGGGTCCTGGCGACCAAGTCTTTCCAATATTTCTTATATTGAACATAGGAGGTGCTTTCACATCATACTGATCTTTCTTAGAGAATGGACCAACTACTTTCTTCTTAACTCCCTTTTTGCCACCTTTCATAAGGCACTTGTTCTTAACAACTGCCATGGTGCTGCTCGGAGTACCAAAAGGCTAAATTTTATATTTTTGGTAGAGACGGGATTTCACGATGTTGGCCAAGCTGCTCTTAAACTCCTGATGTCAGGTGATCTGCCCGCCTCAGCCTCCCAAAGTGCTGCGATTACAGATGTGAGCCACTGCACCCAGCTGTTATTTATTTTTTCTTTTTTTGTACACACAGGGTCTTGCCATGTTGCCAAGGCTGGCCTGGAACTCCTGGCCTCAAGAAATCCTCCCACCACAGCCTCCCAAAGCACTGGGATTTCAGGTGTAAGCCACCATGCCCAGCCTGGAATCTATTTTTAAAGCCAATCAAGTGTTGAATAAAATTGCAACTTGGGCTGCTTTTCTTTGCATTTTTTACATTTCAATGGTTTTTAATATATTCAGAGATGTACACAAACATTACCAGTCAATTTTAGAACATTTCATGACCTCAAAAAGAAACCTCATACGCTTTAGCTAACACCCCCATCCTCCCATGCCCCTACCAGCCCTAAGCAACCACTAATCGACTTCCTATTTCTATAGACTTCCATCTGAATGAAATCATGTAGAATGTGATCTTTCATCTGTTTTGAAGGTTCATCCACGCTGTAGCGTATGTACTTTCCTCCTTTTTGTGATCAAATAATATTCCACCATGTGGGTAGACAACAATAGGTGTATCTCTTCATCTGGTGATGGGCATTTGGATTAACTCTCTCTTTGGGTTATTAGGAGTGATGCTACTGTAATTATTCATGTACAAAATTTTGTGTGGACCTGTGCTTTCATTTTTGAATATGAAAATATTGCGCATCTCCAAGGAAGACATACAAGTGGCCAATAAGCACATGAAAAGATGCTCAATGAAATTCATCATCAGGGAAACAGAAATCAAAACCACAATGAGATACCACTTCATACCCATAAGCATGGCTAGAATCGAAGATAGAGAAAATTGGCCTGGTGCAGTGGCTCAAGCCTGTAATCCCAGCACTTTGGGAGACCGAGGCAGGTGGATCACCTGAGGCCAGGAGTGTGAGACCAGCCTGGCCAACATGGTGAAACCCTGTCTGTACTAAAAAAATACAAAAATTAGCCAGGCATGGTGGCAGGTGCCTATAATCCCAGCTACTCGGGAGGCTGAGGCAGGAGAGTAACTTGAATCTGGAGGCAGAGGTTGCAGTGAGCTGAGATTGTGCCACTGCACTCCAGCCTGGGTGATGGAGCAAGACTTTGTCTCAAAAAAAAAAAAAAAAAAAAAAAACAGAAAATAACAAGTTTTGGTGAGGATGCAGAGAAATTAGAACCTTCATACACTGCTGGTAGGAATTAAAATGGTGTAGCCACTGTGAGAAACAGTTTAACAACTTCCCAAACAATTCTACATAGAGTTGCCAAATGACCCAGCAATTGTACTCCTAGATATAGGCCCAACTTGGGCTCTTTCAATCTATGGAAAATGAACTGTGGGTACTTGGCAAGAACAAAGAGGGAGAGAGGCAGAAATGCTGCCATGAGGGCACATTGATTGGTCTCTAGTACACATGGCTCCTACTGCAAATGGTCTCTAAATGACTTCATCAGTTGCTCAGAAAAAAAATCACCCTCTGCTCCAATCGTGGAGGAAGAAGTATGGATTGGACCTGGTGAGCCACGGTAAGACTGACTGCTAAACTTTATGAATGATGAGGGGATTTGCACGTATAATCTTGACTGTACTAGATTTTTTATTTTATCCACTGTCTTTGAAAACCTAACTCTTAAGAACTGACTTTCCTGTACTTGTTGTTGACTCTAAGTAAATTTCCAATTCCACATAGTCCAAAGATGATATGCTGAGAAATCTCTCAAAGGAAAAATGCTAAGAATACAGGCACAGTTATATGGCAAATTTTGCAGAATTAACACAAATTGCACTTGTGGGTATGAAGCACAAAACATTTTCATGGGTAAAGAAAAAAGTGTTCTTCATTCTAGTAGACGCTGCAGGATGAGGCCGATCAAGGTGCTGGCCCAGCCAGACCTTGGGCTCTTACCTAATTTGTGTTAGAGTCAACTCTGAGGGAGTCTGTATCTCAGTCATCTTTTTTTTTGACATGGAATCTCGCTCTGTCTCCCAGGCTGGAATGCAGCGATGTGATCTCAGCTCACTGCAACATCTGCCTCCTGGGTTCAAGCGATTCTCCTGCCTCAGCTTCCCAAGTAGATGGGACTACATGTGCATGCCACCATGCCTGGCTAATTTTTGTATTTTTAGTAGAGACGTTTCATCATGTTGGCCAGGCTGTGCTCAAACTCCTGCCCTCAAGTGATCCGCCTGCCTTGGCCTCCCAAAGTGCTGGCATTACAGGCATGAGCCACCATGCCCGATCTCAGTCATCTTTTTATCCTCCACACCTGGCAAGTTCTAGACACACTGTGGTTCCATACAAGTTTGTTGAATAAACAGGAGACAGAGAGTGAGAACTCTGGAAGTATAGAAGATTCCAGAAATTGTGCATATTTCCCACAGACTGTGGCCCAATTCCTCAGTCCTGCCAGAGTTTCTCTATCTCAACTCAAACCTTATGTGTGGGCCCAGGCGCAGTGGCTCACACCTGTAATCCCAACACTTTAGGAGGCTGAGGTGGGCAGATCACTTGAGGCCAGGAGTTTGAGACCAGCCTGGCCAACATGGTGAAACCCCGTCTCTACTAAAAATACAAAAATTAGCCAGACATGATGTTGTGCACCTGTAGTCCCAGCTACTCAGGTGGCTGAGGCACAAGCATTGCTTGAACCCAGGAGGTGGAGGTTGCAGTGAGTCACTATTATGCCACTGTACTCTAGCCTGGGCAATAAAGCAAGACTGTCTCAAAAGAAAAAAAAAACCCTTAAGTGTGGGCCTTGTTACAGAATTAATGTGTATATGGACAATATGTACATGGGTGTATGTTAAGAGCATGAGTCATCCACAAGATTTCAGCAAAGTCCATTTGGAAAGCTCAATGCTTTGGGCTTCCACTTGCTTTGCTGCCTCTGTCCTCAGAAGGAGGCTTCATCCTTCCATGTAACCAGCAAATCCTTTATGCAGAGATGTAAACAACACACTCCTCTCCTTGGCTATGACACCTTGAAAGGGTCCTCTTGGTGGCCCCTGGTGCTCATTTCAGAGTAGTTCAAATTAAGGTGATCAGCTTTCATGCCAATCACTCTACAAATCACTCCTATTACGACCAATTTTTCTAAATGCTTTATTGAATTATTACTTAAAGAAATGTGCACATAGAAGAGGTCAACACAGTACTTTTCTTACAAACTGAACATACTGGCCAGACGCAGTGGCTCATGCCTGTCATCCCAGCATTTTGGGAGGCCGAGATGAGCAGATTGCTTGAGCCCAGGAGCTTGAGACCAGCCTGGGCAACATAGTGAGACACTCCTCTCTACAAAAAATAAATAAATAAAAAATTAGGCAACAGTGGTGGCACATGCCTGTAGTCCCAGCTACTCGGGAGGGCTGAGGTGGGAGGACTGCTGGAGCCCAGGAGGCAGAGGCTGCAGTGAGCCATGATGGTGCCACTGTGCTCCAGCCTGGGTGACAGAGAAAGATCCTGCCTCAAAACAACAACAACAACAACAACAAAAAACTGAACATCTCCATATTGCTGACACCCAATTCAAGAAACAAAATATTACAGACCCTTCCAGGATATTCCTGGGGTCTCTTCCATCTCTACTAACCCCTGACTACAAACAGCCTCCACCTATTTCACCTGACATTGTACTTTATGAAAGCAGCAGTTCTCAGATGGGGCTATTTTGCCCCCTGGGGACATTAGGCAATATCTGGAGACACTGGGGGTTGTGTCTACTTGGGGGGAGTTGTGTTACTGCATCCAGTGAGTGCAGGGATCCAGGGATGACGCTCAACATCCTAAAATGCACAGGGAACCCCCACACATAGAACAGAGAAATTGCTGAGCCAAAATGTCAGCAGTGTCACAGCTGACACCCTGACATACACACTATCACACAGTATCTGCTCTTTCGTGCTCAGGATCTTTTTCATTCTAATCATCTCATAGGAAACAGAAATGTCATTTAGAGGTAGGTAGAGTCCAAAACAAAGAAGATCCAGAGTTTTTTTTTTTTTTTTTAATCAGCCTGGTGCCTTTAGAGCTAGGATTTAGTTTCCATTCTTTCTGTCTCATTTTCAAGTGATTTTTTTCTTCAAATGGCATCTACTGGGCTCAAGAACCGGAGATCCCCACAAAGCTGAGATTCACATGGGAATTTTGTACACACCTACACAGGTATACACTGCCATTTACATGCAGACATCCACCCACAGATACACACATCCGGAGACCAAGACAGAACACAAACTCCACCATAAAAGCACGGTTCCCCGAACAGGAGAAACGCACCATTCACTCCAGGGAGGTACCTATTTGTTTAATTCAGCCTCTGATAGTCAGGCTGTTGCCAAGCCCAGCTCTGAAAGTCTTCCCCTCTAGGAAAGAGAGATGGACTTTTTCTTTACTCAAGAATATAGATCTAAAAAAAACAAACACTTCTGCATCTCAAAGCAGGCTCTACCTCGTGAGCTACACATATTGATCAGCATTTTATTGTCAATTTTCTTTTACTTGAATTGGAGAAAAATATAACTTAATTATGTTCTTACTGACAGTTTGGAATCAGTTACACTAAATCCAATTCTCTGGGTTCTCATGATTAATGTGTTTAATTTGGGGGACAACAAAGCAAAAGCATTGGTCGTGTTTTAATATAATTAGTACAGGATATATCTAAGGGGTTGCAGTATCACTGTAGCAAGAAGCTCATTCTGCAGTAAAAGGGGGGTTCTGCCACTAGGATTGAGTTAGGGTGGTTCATGGCTGCACCGTTTAATCAATGTCTCTTCAAGAGTCCATGGAATGTGGAATGGGAAAGACTGAAGTAGTGCAAGTCTTGGCTAAGCTTCTATTAAGGGGTGTTAGGAGCTGATAAAATAACCTGGTCTTTATAGACATCCCACACTGTAGTTCTCTAAGCTACAGATTCTCAGATTTTTCTATTTTATAAACGAGTAAAAATATTTTTTTAATTTGAGAACAAACATAAGGTTGCTATCTTTTTTTCTTTTGGGTAAGAAGGAACTTTTTTAAACTACCAGTTTCACACACACACACACACACACACACACACACACAGAGAGAGAGAAATTCCACCATGATTGGTCAGAATAGGTGAGGTTTTGCTGCAATAACAAACAACTCCTAAATCTTGGTAACTTCAAACATCAGAAGTTGTTTTTCTCACTCATGCTACATCTGCAGGGAGGTGTGGGGTGCTCTGTTTCCCATCAAACTTGCCCTAAGACTAAGGTTAATGGGGGTTGCAATACCTCGAGTATCACCAAGCAGGGAACAGAGGGAGAAGAATGCTAGAGAGTCTTGTACTAAGAATTAAATGCTCCAGGCTAGAAGTCTAACATTGCACCTCTGCCCCCAGCCTCTTGGCCAGTACTAGCCACATCCCCTCCCCCACCACAGGGCAATGCATGAAGACAGGAGAATTGGATACATTACAAATTTCTACCCCATGGCATTTCATAAAAGAGAAAAAATGCAAATACAAAAATGTTTTAATAGAATAGAATATATACATTTTTAGAATAAAGAACAATCCTCCAAAAACGACAGCTGGTGGTCTTTCAACAATAGGCACATTTCTGTGACATTTTCTCTGTTTTTCCATTTTATCCTTGACCTATGAACATTTTATACAGATGGTCCAAAGAACACCATTTGGGGACCACTGCTCTAATCAGATGATGAAAACGGCCCCAAGAACAGAGCACAGTCTCTTTAGCAAAGACCCAGCAGGGCCAGGATGACCATGTTCTCACCATCAATGTGCAGACATCCACCTGCAGCATCCTCACATCCCAACATCAAACAGTGGCTCTTTATAGCTTGATTCTAATGCCCTTTGATCTTCATAATCATTGTAAAGATCTCTGGCCCCAAGATCTAACATCGCCACTCTAGCTACATCATGCAACTGTTCACCTCTCCTGCCTCCTCATCCCTCTAAACTTCTCTTCACAACCTCATGTTTCCTTCTTGCTTTACCTTCCTGCTCAGCCTGGACCTTACAGTCACCTTCTTCTTGTAATGTGCTCCTAAACTTGTTCTTCCCTTTCTTCAACCACACCCACCTGGAAAATCTCCATACCCCATTGATGACTTGCCTCGCAACTGCCCAAGGGCTGCTGAATGATACTGGAAGGAATCACAACATGGATCTGGTAGTTCCACTAAATAATCTCACCATCCAACTCTAGGGTAGACTTCACTTCTGTTCAGCAATATTTTTAAGTATCACAAATAAATTCCAAACCATATTTGCTATAACAATTGACTTTAAACCTCTTCCATATCTCAAAGCCCCCAACACCCATCCCTAGGGGTTTCAGAGCCCAGAGTTGAGTTCTCTCAACTCACTTCCATCTCACCCCTAGATCACTGTATCTTGACCCTCTTCCTCTGCCTTTCCCATGTTATAAGGAGAAGCATCCTTCTCCTTTTCCAAGCTACCTTCTCCACTTGTGCCTCATTTGAGACCTGCCTTTATCATCCGTTCCCTTGGAACTCCCATGACTCACCACCTTCACTTGTCATTTCACTCATAAATATTTTGCACCGTATATGTGCCAGGTGTTTAACATATAATCATGCTTAAGTCTCCACATGCTAACAAGAAAAACCTTGATTATCCCTGCTATGCCCTCAAGTCATTACCCTCCCCGCTCCTTTCCTGTGTTCCTAAACTTTGTTGATCTTCATCAATCCCTCTGATGCAGATGGCTATGAAGTTTGCATCCTCTTAGGTTGGTGCAAAAGTAACTGCCGATTTTGCCATTAAAAGTAATGGCAAAAACAGCAATTATTTTTGTACTAGCCTAGTATCTTTTCTCCTTCTACCAAACTTTGTCCCTGAGACATCTCATCACCTATAACTACCTCCTCCATGCAGTTGATTCCCAGATCTGTATTATTCTACTGAAAGTCCATTCCCCAATTTTCTCGGCTAGAATAACAGAAGCCCAGTTAGAATTCATGCTACCAGTTTCCCACCACCACCACCACCACCACCACCGTCGCCCTGCCATTGTTAGCAAAACCATCTCTTGAGTGGAGCTCAAAGATTTGTAATCTCCCACTCCCCAGAAAGATAACTTCAGACTCAGCCTAGAAGTAAAGATCCTCCAGATATGGCCTCAACTACCCTCCAACCCATGTCCCCAGTGCATCCAGTTGATGCCCCCTTCAGTGGAGCTAAAATGGAGTGAGTGGTTATCTTTTCACATACTCCTGGTGTTCTTCCACAAATACAATTTTCACCTCTTGAATATTTTCAAGGATTCTCCATGCTACACACAGTGAAATCCAAACTCCCCATCAGGACCCCAGTCTTCCCAAACCCTCTTTGCAGTTTTCTGCCTCCATGCTTTTCCTTGGGTCATCCTCTTCTCTAATATAACCTTGTGTATTATTCTAGGTTCTCCAGAGAAAGAGCAGAGAGATAGAGGTAGAGCTATACACATAGAGAGAGACAGATTGATTTGTTGTAAGAGATGGCTCACGTGGTTATGGAGGCTAAGGAGTCCTGGAGTCTGCAGCCAGCAAGCTGGAGACCCAGGACAGCCAATGATATAGTTCCAACTCGAGTCCACATCTAAAGTCAGGAGAAGATTGATATCCCAGCTCAAATATAATCAGGTAAAAAGAGCAAATTCTCTGTGACTCTACCTTTTTGTTTTGTTCAGGCCTTCAGTGGATTGGATGAGGCTCACCCACATTGGGGAGGACAATCTGCTTTATTCAGTCTACCAATTAAGGGTTATCCTCATCCAGAATACCTCAGAGACACACCCAGAATAATGTGTAACCAAATATCTGGGCACCCCACAACCCAGTCAAATTGATACATAACACTAACCATCATGTCTTGCTTCTACTCTCTCACCATTACTGCGTGGCCAAATCCTTCCCTTATTTCAAGGCTTAGTTCAAATGTTACCTCTTAACTAAGCCTTCCCTGCTAACCCCAAATATTAATAGAATTGGTGTCTTCCTTCTCTGATGTCTCAAAATATGTTGTGTTTCTCTTTTACTGTATTTATTACAAACTCCCTTATAAATCAAGACAGTGATTCCCCGACAAATTATCAAAAGAGTATAAAAGAAGTCTTCTTTGAGTGTGAAATATCTCATGGAATATAGCACATGGCCTCTTCATGAAGAAACTACTGGGAGAGAAGACAAGCCGGAAGAGGCCAGGGAAAGGGGGTTAGTACAAAGCACAATGAGGCTGGGCTCATACAGTGGCTCACACCTGTAATCCCAGCACTTTGGGAGCCCAAGGCCGGTGGATCATGAGGTCAGGAGATCGAGACCATCCTGGCTAACACGGTGAAACCCCATCTCTACTAAAAATACAAAAAAGTTAGCCAGGCATGGAGGCGGGCGCCTGTAGTCCCAGCTACTCGGGAGGCTGAGGAAGGAGAATGGTGTGAACCCAGGAGGCAGAGCTTGCAGTGAGCCGAGATCGCACCACTGCACTCAAACCTGGGTGACAGAGCAAGACTCCATCTCAAAAAAAAAAAAAGCACAATGAAATGTCTGTGGATGGGTGCCTATAATTTCTAAGGGAAATAGAGTATAATCCAAGAATTTTATAGCCAGCTAAATTATTGCCCAATTAAAATAGGCAAAAGACACTATCACAAGCTGAAGAACTTAAAGAATACAGTATTTTTGAGCTCTTTAAAAAAAAGTCTTCATAATAAAATTTAGTCAGCCAAGAAATTAAAAAATAAGCAACTTGTGAATTGAATGACCATGACAAAAGGCTAGTGATAGGACTATGATTGCAGAACAGAAAGAGAAGGTGGTCAACCTTAACAACATAAAACAACCTAGAAATAACTAGTTTCCAGAGCTAAAGGGAGGGACTGTAGGAAGTAGAAGTGCTAATGCCCTTTATTAAGTCAATTAATCAGGTCTAAAATTGAAACGTGATTTTAAATATATAACTTCTTGTTTATTTTCCTCCCTAACTACCTGAGGATCAACCACCATCATGAATGACACAGTAACTACCTGGACCAGGAAGTTCATGACCAATCGACCGCTCCAGAGGAAACAAATGGTCACCAATGTCCTTCACCCCGGAAAGGCAACAAAATGTACAAGACCACAATGGATGTCATCTTCATATTAATAGTTGGACTCAGAACCCATTTTGGTGGTGGTTAAACAATCGTCACCCACATTGGAGTGCAGTGGTACGATCTCAGCTCACCAAATCTCTGCCTCCCAGGCTTAAGCAATTCTCCTGCCTCAGTCTCCCCCGTAGCTGGGATTACAGGCACGCACCACTACTGCCTGGCTAATTTTTATATTTTTAGTAGAGATGGGGTTTCATCTTGTTGGCCAGGCTGGTCTTGAACTCCTGACCTCAAATGATCCACCCGCCTTGGCCTCCCAAAGTGCTAAGATTACAGGCATGAGTCACAGCGCCCCGCCTTTTCTGTATTAAATTTTTTAAAACACAACATTTAAAATAATCAAGTCATTCTTTTTGAATCTACTTTGTATTATAGGTATCCAAATACTCACCTATTCTCTCTCACATGATGACAAACTCGTTGAAATGTCATTTCATTTTGTGGCTCCAGCCCCAGGGATTCTGACTCTCATTCTAAAGGGCCTGCATGCAGAGTGAGCAAGCCGCCTGGATGATTCTCTTACAGGTGTTTTAAGGGCAGCAGTTTGAGACACCCTGATGCAAAAGAACGAACCCTCAAGGAAGTTGGCTGTACATGTATTTTCCTTCCTAGCACAGGAAATGACAGAAAGATTATCCAATCAGTACCACTCATAGCACCTGATTATATGTGTATGAGGAATTCAGAAATGGTTTGATCAAGGTTGAAGACCTAAAAAGAAGCTTTTCTCTCGGACACCAAGTCCCCATCTCATGCGTGGTTGAGTTAGTAGAAACTGAGGATGATGCTTCTTCCTCCAGCATTGGTATCCTATGGTTTTTGTTGTTCAGTAAATGAAGTACCTCCATCCCCCAACATCCCCAAGCTCAATTCCAGTTTCCTCACATACACTTTTTTTTTTTTTTTTTTTTTTTTTTTGAGACAGAGTCTCGCTCTGTCACCCAGGCTGGAATGCTGTGCAGTGGTGCAACCTCAGCTCACTGCAACCTCCACCTCCCAGGTTCAAGTGATTCTCCTGCCTCGGCCTCCTGAGTAGCTGGAATTACAGGCATGCACCATCATGCCTGGCTAATTTTTGTATTTTTAGTAGAGATGAGGTTTCATCATGTCGTGCAGGCTTGTCTCAAACTCTCGGCCTCAAGTGATCCACCCATCTCAGCCTCCCAAGTGCTAAGATTACAGGTGTGAGCCACCGTGCCCAGCCCCCTCACTTACACTTTTACAGAAGATCTGATCATACCCACTCCGCAGAAGTCAGAATGGCCCCCACGTGGTGTTAAACGGGAGTGAAAACTTGAGTTCAATCAACTGAGGGTGACACAGAAACATTTCCCCCAAAACGCTTTTGGCAGCTCTGCTGATCCATAACCTGGCTCCATTTCAGGGCAAGACCTCCACTTAAGCTGCACTGGCTTCCACTAGAGTAAATCACATTAACTCATGGCAAACACAACTGAAGGGCAAAAAGATTCTTTTTAAAATGATTTTTGTCTCTCACTTACCAACACACACTGGCCTCCCTACAGCCTGACTCCATTCAGCATCTGTTCCACTGAGCACCCACTGAAAGCTCAGCTCATGAGCTGAGATGACCCAGACATCAAGGAGTTTACAATCCAGGGGAAGAACAGACCTGAATACAAGTGATGACAATACAAGACGGAGTCAAAGAGCCCAACTTGAAGTTTCAGCAGAATAGCACCAAAGACTAGTTCCCAACCCAGCTCCCAGAGCCAGAGCCAGAGCCAGGCTGGCTGCATGAGATCAGCTGGGAGCTTTTGCAAACCTAGGTCCTAGCTGAGCCCCTAATCATCAGACTGGCAGTCACTGGGAGTGAGCTCCAGGAACTGGTTTATTTAATAAGCACCCACACACACATGATTCTGATGTTCCTAAGGGTTGTAGAAACATGGAACTATAGAAAATAATTTTTAAAAAGGCACTAAAAGAAACCTATAAATATTCACTACCATCCCAGGCATCATGAGGACACTCCACGTGCACTATTTACAATACTTAGAATAACCTGCAAGGGAAGCATTCATTCATGACGATGGGCTTTATTGGGATCAGAGCCAGCCCTGGGAATGTTTGAACCTGCGCTGAAAGGCACCCCCTCCTCCCCACAGGAGGGGGCTAACATTAAGGAGCAGGGGCCAGATGGGAAATGGAGTGTCCTTTTATTATGAGACCACAGTGAGAGACTTTTTTTTTTTTTCCAGAGTCTCGTTCTTGCCACCCAGGCTGGCGTCCAGTGGTGCAATCTCAGCTCACTGCAACTTCCGCCTCCCGGGTTCAAGTGATTCTCCTGCCTCAGCCTCCCGAGTAGCTGGGACTATAGGCACCCACCACCACACCTGGCTAATTTTTGTATTTTTAATAGAGACAGGGTTTCACCATGTTGGTCAGGATGGTCTTGATCTCTTGACCTCATGATCCACCTACCTTGGCCTCCCAAAGTGCTGGGATTACAGATGTGAGCCACCACGCCTAGCCTTAGACTTTCAAGTAAAGCCACAATGGACCACAGAGCTTAGACATCAGGGCTAACATGGAATCTCTGTCATTAAATCTTGAGATCTTATTATCTTTGCTCAAAGAAAAAAATAATCACAATTGACATTTTGAGGACAAGACATCTGAATGTAAACTTGATCTTAGAGGATATTAAGGAATTACTGGTAATTTGATTAGGTATGACAATGATCATATAAAAACTGCCCTCATGTTTTTAGAGGGAAAGTAAATTACGTAGGGGTGAATATCAGGATGCAATTACATAACTACTGTAAACTATTTTGTAAATACTTCAGAAAAACAAATGGAGTAAATATTGCAAATGTTAATAGTTTTTAAATCTATGTGATGGGTATATGATAGCTCATTAAACTAGTCTCTCTACTTTTATGTTTATCGAAAAGTTTTCATAACAATAATAATAATAAAAAACCTTGGCCAGGCACAGCAGCTCATGCCTGTAATCTCAGCACTTTGGGAGGCCGAGGTGGATGGAGGACTGCTTGAGCCCAGGAGTTTGAGACCAGCCTAGGCAACATGGTGAAACCTCATCTCTACAAAAAATAAACAAATTAGTCAGGCATGGTGGTGTGCACCTGCAGTCCCAGCTACTCAGGAGGCTGAGGTGGGAGGATCACCTGAGCCCAGAAGGTCAAGGCTGCAGTGAGCCAAGGTCACGCCACTGCACTCCAGCCTGGGCAACAGACCCTGTCTCAAACAAACAAACAAGCAAACAAAAACCCTCTTGATCCCATTTCCCAAAAAAATGATTTTTTTGAGATCTTACCATCTCCTGGCTTGGTGCAGAGTACAGGAAATCAAGACAAAGTACAGCACACAAGGAATAAGGAGGGAGGGAAGCGTGGGGGAGGCTGACACTGTGGACTCTCCCAGCTCAGTCGACCCATGCGCCTTGCTTCATGGAAGAAAGGAATGGAAGATGAGTCATGCCTTCAGCACACAGTGACCTTCCTCACTAGTAAATGTGCCTCTAGAAGTGTCCAAGAACTCACTGCCAGAGCCAGGCTGCCTGCATTAGAATCACCTGAGAGCTTTTGCAAACATAGGCCCCTACTGGGTCCAAATGCATTCATCTCTTGGAGAGGAGGAGAGAGGCAGAACAAGGAAAAGGATGGGAAGAAACCAGCCTTGTGCACAGGAGGATGCTGGGACTCCTCCCGCAAGTTTAGCGCAATGCAGCCTATTTTACAAGGTCACAGAAGCTCAGAGAGGTAAACCTGCCCAGGTTCTCCTAGCTTGTAACTGGCAAAACCCGCCCAAGTCTCTGTCTCTAGAGATATTTCCACTTGCTTCAACTCTGGAGCTGTCTTAGTTGTAAAGATGACAGATTCCACTCATCACTCACTTTTGTTTGCAGATATTGCCTAAGGTCCCTTGTGAATATTTAGGTCAGGGCTGTTTTTTTGAGTTTTTTGTTTGTTTGTTTGCTTCTTGTTTTTTTTACAAAGCAATCTTGTGGAAAGAACCCAAAGTGGCTCCCCCATTTAAGACCCTGTAAACAGGGAGACGAGAGTCCTGGTCTGGTTTCCACACATTCCTTAGATTTCCCTGTGTGTAAAATCCAACAACAATCTTTGACAAATTGCCTCCCCTAGGGGAGAGATGGAGGAAGTGTTAACTTTGCTTTTTTTTTTTTTTTTTTTTTTTTTTTTCTGTTTTCAGACAGAGCCTCGCTCTGTCGCCCAGGCTGGAGTGCGGTGGTGCCATCTCGGCTCACTGCAACTTCTGCCTCCTGAGCTCAAATGATTCTTGTGCCTCAGCCTCCTGAGTAGCTGGGACTACAGGCAGACGCCACCACACCTGGCTAATTTTTGTATTTTTAGTAGAGATGGGGTTTCACATATTGGCCAGGCTGGTATCAAACTCCTGGCCTCAAGTGATCCAACCCCCTAAGCCTCTCAAAGTGCTAGGACTACAGGCATGAGCCACCCTGCCCAGCCAATTTGCTATTTTTTTTTTAATAGACAGCTTCGAGGTCCAGTATGATTTCACAGATTAGGAAACATCACAGACAAAGAAGAACACTTTGCATTCAAATAGCAGAATGTTTTCATTTTCAAAGAGCTCTCACCTGCCATCTAATCTTGTCTGCCTAGCAGTCCTGGGAGAGAAGCAGATGTGGTTTCCAATCCCACTTTCCAGAAGAGGAGACTGAGGCAGAGGCTTTGCAGATACACAGAGGACATGTGAGGACAGGTGAAGGTCATGATCATTGTCAGCCCCCTCCCCCAACTGGACATTCCCAGATCTGGTGGACTTCCAGCCAGTGGAGACAGAAAGACTGGATCACTCAACTCTGCCATGGGTGCCAGGACCCAATTTTTCCCTTGCTAACTCGGTCACCTCCTGTCTGGGATCTCCAACTACTACCCATCCCAGAAGTCTCAGCTAAAACAGCAATTCAACGGGGAACTTTTTTCTGAGGCTCCAGGATTGGGCCAGGCCCTCTCCATGGCTTTCTGCCCTTCCCCTATTGCAGAACTTAGCACTTGTATGTCACTATTGGTTAAAACATGTGCCTTTCGTATGCTCTCCATGTTATCTGCAGCATCTGCCAAGAATAATAATGAATGGTAAAACCTAATCTCTATTGAGTGTCGATGATGCACTTTTAATGTGACATCTTATTTAATCCTCACTATATCTGCAAGAGTAGAAGCTATTAATAGCCAATTTTCAGATAAGAAAATCAAAGCACAGTTTCTATAACTTGCCCAAGCAGCTAGCTAGGAGGCAGCTCAATTTGAGCCCAGGGAATCAGATTCCAGAAACCATGTTCTCAATTACTAGAGCAGATACCTCCCCAGAATCTAGTAGGTGGTTAATGAGTCTTTGTGGAATAAATGAACAGAAGGACAAGCAGTGGATGGATACATGGGTGGGTGGGTGGATAGATTGGTGGATGGAAAGATGGGTGGGTGGGCAGGTGGATGAATGAATGAATGGTTGAGTCGGTGAAGGGATGGCTGAGTGGGTGGAGAAATGGATAAGTGGGTGAGGGGGTGGAGGGATAGATAAATGGATGCACGGGTAGGGGGATAGATGGGTAGCTGAGTGAATGGGTGGATAGATGCATGGGTGAGTGGATGGATAGATGGGTTGGTGGGTGGGTAGGTGGATGATAGCTGGGTGCATAAGAGAGTGGGTTGGATGGATAGATGGGTGGGTGGGTGGGTGGATAGATGGGTAGGTGGGTGGATGGATGGATGCATGGATGGATGGATGGATGGATGGATGGATGGATGGATGGATGGATGGATGGATGGAATGGTGGATAGATGGACGGACAGATGAACAGATGGACTTGAGCATTTTTTCAGGGTCCTCCAAAGAACTGAGTGATTTCCTAGGGTGTGTCATCACCTGCAGGTGGGTGGGCAAGGGGGCTTGCCTCTGTAATACTCATGATTATGGGTAGTGCTCAGCCTTAGTCGCCACTCTCGGAACACTTTATTGGCTAGGAAAGTCAAAACTGGCATTGACAACTAGTGCAAATTACAGCTATAACTAACAGAAGATGTTGAGTGATGACAGCTGGGCAACCAATAATCAATAACTTGGCTGTGTCATGTTGCTGCCATGCTAGACAGGTAGAGCCATGGGTTCTTTGATCCCTCCATCACATTGAGGATGCTTATCAAGACTTCCCCAATCATGGGGACAGGGATCTTATCAACTACTTGCAGTTCACCCCAAAAGGCTCACCCTCTTCGTTCCACCTGCACATGACCTTCAGCTCAAAGACATTTCCAGTCCTCCAGGTGAGCCCTTCTTCCAGCCTTTGAATTAACCCTGATGTCTGCCTGCACATTAGGTATCTCACCTTTCATCACACAGGCTTTTCCAAGGCTTTCCTTCAGTCCAGCCCTCACTAAACGCTGGAACTGTTGTTGACAAAATCCAGAACAAGCTGGCTGGGGGATACAGGTGGGAAGCAGGCTGTAGTAATGGGGAAAAATTCTAAGCAATCTCGAACACAGAAAAGAAACTGAACAGGTAAGAGAGAGGCACTCAAGAGAAGAAGTGTGAATTTTGCATAACTGAAGCTGAAGAAGAGCGGGGGGCATGGCAGACCACAAGATAAATATGATATAGACTCCTTTTTAAAAAAGTATAAACACCCACCCTTTCCTACAGACAACTGTGCTTCAAATATTGCTAAGGTCTTTACTAAAGGCAAGTCAGAAAAACTGAGTATTTTATGCAATACAGTAAGAAGGCCCATAGGCAAGCATGGTCCTGACACCACCTTCTAGGATAACCCCTGGGATTCTGGCTACACCTGTCCTAAAATTGTCTCTCACTCCTGCTGTTGGAGAGCTACCATGAGAGAAGAACCATACTGAAGTGGTTAAGAGTGTGCACCCAGCGACCAGCCAGATCGCTTCAAACCATCACTATCTAATACTGAGCAAGTTACACAATGTTCCTGAGCCTCAACTTTCTCATCTGTAAAATGGGTATGCCGTCATTCATTAATCAAATTCTAGGTAAGCATATACTAAACACCAGAGACACAAATGAGAATCACGAACAGGCATGGCCCTGGCCCTCACGGTGACCACAGTCTTGAAGGGGAAGGATGACACGCACAGAAACAGGAAGCCGTAGCTGAGCTAGTGTCTACCACAGAGAGGCACCTGGTGTCATGAAAGCAGATAACAGGGGGTTGCTGTGACTGAGTCAGTGTGGCCAGGCGTCCCTGAGGATGTAGTGACTCCACTGTCAGATGAGACCGTGACCAGGTGAAGAGGCAGGGAGAGGGAAAATCTTTCCAGGAAGAAAGAGCCCGATATGCAAAGGCCCTGTGGCAGGAAAAGAGCAAAGGAAGTTCAAGAGCCTGAAAGAGGCCAGAGAGAACAAGTGAACATGTGGATAATCACAGCACCGACCTCATACAGGACTTGCAAGAAATCGAGACCCTCTCTGTAACAGATTCAGCAATGACTAAATAGAAACTATCTCCTAAAAGCACACGATGAGGCTCTTCGGTGGTATTTCCCATGTGAGGCTGCCATGGACTCAGAGGCCAAGTTCAACCTGCCTGTAGACAACCTCCAAGCCAGCTGGACACACATACACCCTCAGGCTCAGGATACCCAGGACAGAGTCCTAGATGCTTGAAGTCATGATAAGTATCCAGAATGACACAGAATTCCAGCCAGGCATGGTGGCTCACGCCTGTAATCCCAGCACTTTGGGAGGCCGAGTTGGATCACCTGAGGTCAGGAGTTCCAGACCAGCCTGGCCAACATGGTGAAACTCCCTCTCTACTAAAAATACAAAAAAATTAGCTGGGTATGGTTGTGGGTGCCTGTAGTCCCAGCTACTCAGGAGGCTGAGGCAGGAGAATCGCTTGAATCTGGGAGGCAGAGACTGCAGTGAACCGAGATTGCACCATTACACTCCAGCCTGGGCAGCAAAAGTGAAACTCCGTCTCAAAAAAGAAAGAAAGAAAAAAGAATGACACAGAATTTGCTAAAGGGGGAGAAAAGGTTTTCTTCCAAAGCTGGGCCTGGTTTCTACAGAGTCTTTCAGATGAAAATTAAGCAACTCTTTGCAAGCAGCTCTTTGCAAGCACCTCAGAGGAGAACCCCTCATGATGGATCAGGCACACAGGCGGATCCAAGACAATAGGCTGCGTGCATGTGAACAAGCCTATGGTGGAAATGCAGTGCTTTATTTATTTGGGGTGGTTTAATCACCAGGAGGGAGAAGCTTCCCAAGCAGCATTCAGAGGTGGCTGTTGCCTGGGTTTTCTGGAAGGGGGAGGCGGTGAGGATGAGGGCTTCCATTTCATCTGCAGTCCCCTTGCAGAAGGATCTGGGGAAAGCTTTGCAGCCATCTGCACACTGTTTGCCATCTTGTCTGGCTGGGCAGCCGAGCTCCAGATGGGGGCGGATGGGATAGCTCCTGCCACCGTATTTGGAGAGAGATGGCAGGGAAGTCAGACCCTATGAAGAAGACAGGAGCACACAGGTGCTGGACAGTGCTGCCTAGGCCCCTGGGGCTGAAGTGTCCTACCCCACAGTCTCTAGGTGCCACTAAAGTGGCCCGAGAGGATCTTCTCTGTCCATCTCCATCCTGGCACCTACAGACACTTGGAGAGTCCTTCACATGGGAACTCATAAATGCACACTCATAACCCCCACACGGAACTCTCATACATAGCAAGTGAAAAGACAGGATGCCAGTTAAACTTGAATTTCAGATAAACAACAAATCATTTTTTAGGGTAAGCAGGTCCCAAATATTGCATGGGATATATTTGCACCAAAAAAAAAAAAAAAAAAAAAAGGTTAATGAGAAATTCAGGTTTAATTGGACTTCCTGTATTTTACCTGGCAAGCCTAACCCTGCATAAACACAACCTCGAGCTTGAAACTCACAGAGAAGCCACGGCCGTGCTCACACACGTGCACAAGCCCATATGCCTTACAGAGTCAAGGGCTGTGATGAGGGTTCCCACACTTGCACACTTCCCTGTCCTCTGTCTGGGCTCAGAGTAAACAGAGGGTCACCTGGCATCCAGGTCTAAGCTGGGCTTGGAGGTGTCCTAATGAAGCAGGATGCTGACCTGCACTTCCCCAGCTCAGCCGGGGCTGCAGCCAGGCCTAGCTTCCAGTCTCGGGCCTAGAACACACAGCACAGCCCCAGACCTTGGCAAGAAGTCTTCATCTCAAGGGCCACTGGCTCAGGACCTATTAGAAGCCCCACTTCTTTCCTCTGTTTCTGCTGCCATTGCCCTAGTCTCTGACCCTGACACTCAATCACTCTATAAACACAGCAGGTACTAGGGGTGGCTCTGGGCTTGGCACTAAAGACAATGCCCCTGGTAAAGCCACAGTCTAGCAATGACAGTCAACCACGTATCAGCAACAGCCCTGCCCTACACGTGCTGACTGCGCACAAGGCCGGCGCTGTGAACGTGCTCTCAACAGTGATCTCACTGAACCCTCATGGCAGCTCTAGGATGCAGACAGTAGCATCACATTAACCCCATTTTACTTTTGAGGAAACTGAGGCCTGAAGAAGGCAAATGCAGGCCTCGAGATTTGCAGTAACATTGCCAGGATTGTTTGAGAAAGCAAACTTCTCCAGAGTGAGGCAGTCTGCCAGAGCTCAGAAGCCAGAGTCCCTGTTAGCAGGGGCTGGGGGGACTGTGGGGTGGGGGCAGACAAGCAGGTAGGGGCTGGACCCCCCAGGACACCAGGGTGCAGACTGGTGTGAGTAAAAGAAAGAGAGGCGGTCGTGCCATCATCTGCAGAAGATGATGTCTACACAGGACAGTACCATGTGAGCCCTTGGGGAGCCGGATGACTGGATGGAATTTTGCACAGGATGCAAATTAAGCACAGATCCCCCTCTGACCTAGACAGCCCACCTCCAGGAACATCTCACAGAAATGCAGGCACAGAGCACCAAGTGATGTGTGTAAGGAAATCCATCAGAACACCGTCTGTGATTGGGAAAAGGCGGAAACCATCCAAAGACGTATCGGTGCAGGGCTGGTTAAACGAAGCGTGGTGCATCCACACGTCAGAATAACTGCTGGGAGAAGAAGGTGGTACCCAGGTTCCAACGTGAGACAATGTCAAAGACATGCTGCCTGAAAAGCAGGCTTTCCAAAGAATAAATATAGCATTATTCCATTTTTACTTTTTAAAAAAGGTTACAATAAACACATATGCAAATACATGTGCTTGTGTGCACAGAGGAAAAAGGTGTGGACAGGAACAGAAAACCAAACTCTGCGGGTTCTCACTCATAAGTGGGAGTTGAAAAATGAGAACACATGGACACAGGGAGGGGAACATCACACACCGGGTCCCGTCGGGGGTGGGGAACAAGGGGTGGGAGAGCGTTAGGACAAATACCTAATGCATGCGGGGCTTAAAACCTAGATGACGGGTTGATGGGTGCAGCAAACCACCATGGCACATGTATACCTATGTAACAAACCTGCACATTCTGCACATGTATCTCAGAACGTAGAATAAAAAATAAAAAGAAATCAAAGAAAAAGGTGTGGAGAGGTATACCCCAACCCTTCCCAGTGTTACCTCTGAGAAGCAAGATCAAGAAAAGCAAATCAAGAGGATGTTTTGTTTTTTGTTTTCTACATAAATATTTTTTTTTTGGAAACATAGTCTCGCTCTATTGCCCAGTCTGGAGTCCAGGGACACAATCTCGGCTCACTGCAACCTCCTCCTCACTGCAACCTCCTCCTCACTGCAACCTGCTCCTCACTGCAACCTGCTGCTTCTGGGTTCCAGTGATTCTCTTGCCTCAGCCTCCCAAATAACTAGGATTACAGGTGCACACCACCAAGCCTGGCTAACTTTTGTATTTTTTGTAGAGACAGGGTTTCACTATTTTGGCCAAGCTGGTCTCGAACTCCTGGCCCACCCGCCTTGGCCTCCAAAAGTGCTGGGATTACAGGTGTGAGCCACCATGCCTGGCCTGCATTGCTTGAATTCTCAGACCCTCTCATCTGGTCCAATTGCAAGAGTCCAAGGCAGGAAAGGCAGAAGGCAGGGGCTTACCCCTCCATCAGGACAACATAGGACAGAGTCAAAAAAGAAAAACATGAATGGATCAGTCAAGAGGGCCGTGCACATGCCCTCCCAGGCACCTACACCTTGCAACTTAAGCCGACAAGCTTTCAAGCCACAGAGTCTTCCTTCCTAGAGACTAGCAAGGACACAAGCCCTGGCCAGTCCCCTCCAGGAGGATGGTCTGAGGGATAAGGTGGGGTGCACAGTCAGGGGTGGCAGGAGGAAAGGGGGACAAGAAGCCAAGGAAACCAGGGCACCCCATGCTTCCAGAAGGCAACTAGAACAGGGCGCCACACAGAGCCCCTGTGTACCTGTTTCTACAACAGCCTGAACACAAGGAAAAGGAAAGCAAGGAAAATACACAAAGCCCAGCCTCACCTGGAGCAGGTTAAATAAAGGTGTGTGACTTCATGTCCTTTGGAATTGGAAATCCAAGCTTCCTCTTCTGTGCCTTTAAGGTCCTGGCTACTGCCCCACAGCTCCCTTCTCTTCCCTCCTCCTCTTGTCCTGACTTTTTTTTTTTTTTGAGATGGAATCTTGCTCTGTTGCCCAGGCTGGAGTACAGTGGCACAATCTCAGCTCACTGCAAACTCCACCTTCTGGGTTCAAGCAATTCTCGTGGCTCAGCTTCCCGAGTAGCTGGTATTATAGGTGTCACCATGGCCGGCTAATTATTGTATTTTTAGTAGAGACAGGTTTTCACCATGTTGGCCAGGCTAGTCTCAAACTCCTGGCCTCAGGCGATCCGCCCACCTTGGCCTCTCAAAGTGCTGGGATTACAGGTGTGAGCCACCATGCCTGGCCCTCTTGTCCTAACTCTGCCATCTCTTGGCAGTCTCCCCTGAGCAGCTTTTCCTGGGCCCGTCCTGCCCCCCTCCAGAGCTGTACTCTCAAACCACCCCCCAATGCCCCCCGGCCCTGGCTCCTGCCCCGGGGCTCTGATCCTCAGCTGGTGAGGTCTAGAGGGTCAGAGGGAGCCAGACTCCCTAGAGAAGGCAGGAGCCCTGTGCTTAGGCAGGAGCTAAGCTAAGCTAAGGCAGGAGCCCTGTGCTGCACTGTGGGTAACCTGCCCCCTTCCAGCTGGGGCCAAATAGAAGGGGGAAAGGCTGCCCCCAGAATACAGGGCTCTCAGAGGCCCTGGGGATCTGTGCTGGCAGTCAGGAGGACTGTCACCTCAGTGCAGTTGCCTGCAAGGAGGGCTGTGTAGGAAGCTGCATGTTGCTCAGAGAACAAAAAAAGGAAATTAAATGCACCATCTGGTTATTAGCAAGAGCTTTTGAGACAGACACTTAAATATGCATGCCTAGACATTATAAAACTTGGGGGAAATGTTAATTTCAATAACGCCACTTCTTGTGCTTGCAGAAACCATTCTTTTTTCTCCCTTCCTAGTAATTTGGGGGCTCCATCCCTCAGAGTGGCAGCGCCAAGACAGCCGGCCTCACTGGGTTTTGTAAGCTGTGTAAGGTGAGATCCCAAGCCCTTGCCTGGAGACCCATCTTAGGAAAATGTTAGAACAGGGCAACAAGTTGCCATTTCCTCCCTCCTTTCTCTTCCCCATACAAAAATCAGAAAGCACACTAGCCCAGTGCCCAGCCACAGTGGTGAGGAAACCCCACTCAAAATCCTGGGTTGTGCCCCTGATGCCAAAGATCTGCAAAATTGGGACTCACCTGCTGCAACCCTAGCCCAGACTTGTGTACATTTCAGGGGTGGCTGGACTCATGGCTGCCTGGGACGTCAGGGTGGTACAAAGTACTCTTAATCTAAGACTGTCGGGGTACAAAGATAAGCATTTTTTTCCCTTTTCTTGAGAGCCAGATGGTAAATAGTTCAGCTTTGCAGGCCATAGGTCTCTGTCCCAACTATTCAACTCTCTATTGTAGCAGGAAAGCAGCCACAGACAATATGCACTGAAATGGGTGTGGCTGTATTCCAATAAAACTTTATTTGTGTGAACAGGCAGGGGGCTGGTTGTGGCGTGTGGGCTACAGCCTGCCTCCTCTGCTACAGCATGATCTCCAAGGACCGATCCATCTTGTAGACCAGCAGCTGGCACACAGGAGCTGCTCAGATACTTGAAGGAGGAATGGAGAAGGCAAGCAGCCCCCAGTGTGCAGACGTGAGGGTCTCCCAGCAGCACCATCCTTTGCCATCTCATGCCGAGGGACAAAGCCAGAGCAGGGCTCTCCACCAAGGCTGGGCTCTCCTCCAAGGAAATGTGATAACAAGACAGAAAGCACTGTGGAAGGATAGGGGCTTTGGAGTCCCACAAACCACAGTTTGCAAGACCAGGAGCATCCTGCACTTCCTTGCACACATCCTGGGTGGGTGCCGGAGCATCTAGACTTAGAGTGAATCTTTTCCCCCTCCTCCCCCAACTGGTCTCCATTACACTTCCAGCAACAATGTAGTGTACATACACAATGGAATACTATTCAGCCTTCAAAAAGAAGGAAATCCTGCCATTTGAGACAACATGGATGAGCCTGGAGGATATTATGTTAAGTGAAATAAGCCAGGCACAAAACGACAAATACCACATGATCTCACTTATATGTGAAATCTAAAAAAGTTGAACTCGGCCAGGCATGGTGGCTCATGCCTGTAATCCCAGCACTTTGGGAGGCTGAGGCCAGCAGATTGCTTGAGTCCAGGAGTTCGAGACCAGCCTGCATAACATAGCAAGACCCCATTTCTACAAAAAAATACAAAAATTAGTGGAGCGTGGTGGTGCATGCCTGTACTCCCAGATACTCAGGAGGCCGAGGTGGGAGGATTGATTGAGCTTGGGAAGTCAAGGCTGCAGTGAGCAAAGATCACACCCCTGCACTACAGCCTGGGCAATAGAATGAGATTGTCTCAAAAAAAAAAGGATGAAAAAGAAAAGAAAAAAGTTGAATTCACAGAAGCAGAGTAGAATGATGGTTGCCAGGGTGGGGAAGTGGGCAGATGCCAAAGGACACAGAATGTCATTTTTAGAGAGGAAGAATAAGTTCAGGATATCCATGGGACAACATGGTACCTATAGTTAATAACAACATAACATACACTTGGAAATCACTAAGAGAGCAGATTTTTTAAGTGTTCTCACCATAAAAAAATAAGTCTGGGAGGTGATGTTATTTAGCTTGATTTAGCCATTTTGTAACGTATACATACTTCAATCACATCATGTTGTACCCTCTTGTACATAATTTTTGTCAATTAAATAAATTCAACAACTCCAAAAAACAAGACATTCTTTTTACAAAATAATTATTAAAAATAAAATTCAGAATTCTATTTTATTTATTTATTTATTTTTGAAACAGAGTCTCGCTCTGTCACCCAGGTGGCTGAAGTGCAGTGGTGTGATCTCGGCTGACTGCAACCTCTGTCTCCCAGGTTCAAATGATTCTCCTGCCTCAGCCTCCCAAGCAGCTGGGATTACAGGTGTGTGCCATCACACCTGGCTAATTTCTGTATTTTTAGTAGAGACAGTTCCGCCATGTTGGCTAGGCTGGTCTCGAACTCCTGACCTTAGGTGATCCGCCAGCCTCGACCTGCCAAAGTGCTGGGATTACAGGTGTGAGCCACTGCGCCTGGACAGAATATAAAAGATTGTTTAATTCAACTAAAACATTAAAACATAGATTATTTCTATAAGTGGTAATTGTTCTAACACGTTTTGGTCAAAATAGTCTCCTTACTCATCCACAATTAAGTGGTTAACTGACATTTGATTGGATTTTGATAAAGTTTTCAAATCATGATTGACTTTTCCAATGTGTTTGAAAATATTTCATAAAAATTAATATTTAAAAATGGTCAGGCATGGTGGCTCATGCCTGTAATCCCAGCACTTTGGGAAGCCAAGGTGGGCCGATCACTTGAGGTCAGGAGTTTGAAAGCAGCCTGGCCAAACCTCATCTCCACTAAAAATACAAAAGTTAGTCAGGCATGGTGGCACGCACCTGCATTCCCAGCTACTTGGGAGGCTGAGGGAGGAGAATCCTTTGAACATGGGAGGTGGGTTCCCCAGGCTTAGAGCAAAACCCCCATCTTGTCCGTCTCCACTCTCATCCCAGGCAATCACGGTCATTTCCACAGCCTCAACCACTGTCTACCTGGGATGCCTCCCAAGCCCAAGTCTCCAGCCCAAACCTGCCTTCCTAGCCCCAGACCCATCTGTCCTGGCACACGTTGCCCCCTGGGTCCCAAGCAACCTCAGCCAATGAGTCCAACGTCAACTTCCTGTCCTTGCCTGACACTGTCAGCCCTGAGATCAGACTTGACCATTCACCTCCAGTACCTGATAGGTCCGTCAGTCCTTTGGAACATATCCCACGAATATTCCCTAAACCAGGCACCGGACTCCACACATCAACACCGTCATGTGAGTCACCAGCATCCCTGGCAGGGACCCCTGTCCCAGCCTCCAACTCATCTCCTTCCTGTCCCTTGAGTTCTGTGTCACATTCCAGAGGCCACAAGAAGAAAAATGACAACCTTAATGAAATTAAAAGAATTGAGAAGACATTTCCCTATGGTCCAAAGTCTTTCCAACTGAGAAACACATATCAAGATCCGGCCTGCCAACCCTGCGGTTAAATGTTCCTGAAATAATTAAAGCCCAGGGCAACACAGCCCGCACTCCACAAGTACTCCCAGCACAGTAAGACTTGCTTCTCTGGAGGGGCTTGAAATGTCCAGTGTGTACCCTGCCCCTCTCTGTCGTAGCTAACAGGAATGTGCTTCATGTCTTCTTCCTGCTCAAAGGACTGTCCACCAACATGCGCAGGTAGCACTTTCGGCCAGGGGGGGATGCGAGAACTTCCCACCATTTCCCACTTATGCACTGCATTCCTCAGGAGCCTGCCTCACAAATTACAAGAGCGCCACGGCAGACACACCACGTTCCAGTGGGTGGCCATGTCTTCATGTCAGCTTGAAAGATCGTCACCAGGGAAATATCTATATCTCGGCAGAGAAAGCTTCAGCCTGTGTAGTCCAGCTGTGCTCAAATGGAAATCCAGAAACCCAGATGTTGGTCCAAACACCCTGTCTCGGACAGCCAGCTCTGCAGGTCCCCAGCGTGGGAGTGAACTGGGTGGGCCACCTACCCTGCCTGCCCACATCCCTGCTTCCTGGAATCCTGGACCCTGAGAACCAGGGGGATGTGGTGGGGAACAGGCAAGTCTTGTGCAGAAAGCCAAGATGCCACCCAAATCCACTCTGCAGTCTAGGTGGGTGATATTCTGGTCTGCACCACACCAGTGCATGAGGGGATGGAGGATGGAGTCTAGACAAGCCAAATGTAAAAAGATATTGCCCAAGTATTTTGTGCTTTGTCTGTGTTACAATGCTATGCCCAGCCCAGCGTGGTGGCTCACACCTGTGATCTCAGCACCTTGGGAGGCCGAGGCAGGCGGATCACCTTAGGTCAGGAGTTTGAGACCAGCCTGGACAACATGGTGAAACCCCATCTCTACTAAAAATACAAAAATTAGCCAGGTGTGGTGGTGGGCACCTGTAATCCCAGCTACTCGGGAGGCTGAGGCAGGAGAATCACTTGAGCCCAGGAGGTGGAGGTTGCAGTGAGCAGAGATCATGCCACTGCACTCCAGCCTGGGCAACAGAGTAAGACTCCATCTTTAAAAAACATAAAAATAAATAAATGCTATGCCCAGCATTTTCCATGTACTGTCTTATTATCTCAGTAAATCCCATATAACCTTCCTATGAAAGTGTATCTCATTTATCTCCATTTTATAGATGAGAAAACTGAGGTCCCTGGAGTAGTATTAATTTTCCAAGACCGCATTGCTCATAAAGGGTACAGCAGGGACCCAAGCTCGACACTCTCACCCTCAAACATTTCCACAAATGTAGACCAATGGCTCTCAACTGGGGTGGTTTTGCTCACGTACCACTCCCTTGCTCCATGACATTTGAAACCATCTGGAGACATCTGGGGTAGCCATAGCTGGGAGGGTAGAGTGGCACCTAGAGGATGGAGACCAGAGATGCTGCTAACCATCCTACAATACACGGGACGGCCCCACCACCACCACCATGAATGGTCTGACCCCAAGTGTTGTGACTGTGCCAAAGCTGAGAAACCCAGGTTTCTCCTCAGCAAGAAGGGAAAATACCTGCAACGTGGATGCACCTCTACAGGAGCCCCAGGCTGACAATAACCTTCCTGATCTGGTTTCAACCCTGGATGCTTTTACCTGGTGCGTTAATCAGGGATTTCAGGGACTCCAGTGAGTTATCACCCTTGAATGCTCGGTTCTGCCTGACAACCCAGAAATCTCTGCCGAGGTGCCTGGTCTTGGGGAAGGCTGAGCAAATGGTTGAGGTTGATAACCAAATACCTAGGAGAGACTTGTCTCCCTCCAGGAAGAGCTGTTGGTCAGACACACCCTGGGATCATTCACAAGCGGTCAATAAAGGCTTGGGGAGGGCCAGGTTTTCTAGGCGTCTTAATGGGATGGGTGTTTATGGATACACAAGAAGCCTGTGAAACTTCTGATATTGGCAGGAAATCAATGCCCCCCACCCTCCACCCCCCTGCCTCCCCACCATAAACACATGCCCTGCAGCAGGACTTGGCACTCAGGGTCTCCTGGGGTCCCGATTTACCTGCTAAAACATCCTTTAGCCAACACCGAATAAAGCAACCCCTTGCCACCCAACCACGAGATCACAGCCTGGGAGCCACTCCAAGGGACATCCAGTCACATTAAAACCTCAGCCATCCAGAGCACCAGGCCTGGTGATGAGAAAGAACATTTTATCCTTAAAAGCATCTGAATGCCCATGCTGCTTCTTGCAGAGAAAAGTCCAAAATAATCTGCTATTAAAGAATGAGGATGGTTTTGACATTTTTACCAAGCTAATGGTCTACACAGACAAAATCTCATAAAAGGGCACTCTGTTCTTCTTGATCCACTCAGACATGGCCTGTGAGTGAAGAAACAGGCTCTCCTCCTCAAAGAAATCACTGCTGATCCTCACACCAGCCTGACACTTCTTCATGGGTTCTTCAAAGAGAGTATTCCCATAGAAACTAAAAGGGAAGAGGAATGGGTCTGGCGGGCATTGTGGGCAGCAGTGGGCTTTGGGCCAAATTTTAAGTTTGAAAATCAAGATTCCCTCTTTTCAAGGGGCCGCCAGACTGAGCAGATACAGGCGCCGCGAAAAGAGCGTGCCATATTCAGATTCAGGAAACAAGGATGGTTTCTGTTCAGTTCCTCCATCATCCTTCAGGTCATGCGATTCCCATTTCCCTTTGTGGACCAAAAAATTCAGTGGGGTTTCTGCCTTTTAAATATTTCATTATCAACATATCATCATTTTAGCCTCCAGAAAGCATTTTAACATGGAGATTCTGGCTTAAGACTCTTGTGGGTCTGTCTGTCTCTCTCTCTCTCTTTTGCTTGAAACGGTCTCACTTTGTCACCCAGGCTGGAGTGCAGTGGCATGATCACAGCTCACTGCAGCCCGACCTTCCAGGCTCTAGCAATCCTCCCACCTCAGCCTCCCAAGTACTTGGGACTACAGGCACACACCACCACACCTGGCTTTTTTTTTTTTTTTTTTTTTTTTTTTTGGTAGATATGAGGCTTCACCATGTTGCCCAGGCTGGTCTTAAACTCCTGGGCTCAAGCGATCCTCCCCCTTCGGCCTCTCAAAGTGCTGGGATTATTGGCTTGAGCCACCATGCCCGGCCAAGAACCTTGTCTCTTGTGATGCACCCCAGAACAAAACATCACTGCAAAAACACACCAAGGCATGAGTTTTAGTCCTAAGTCCCATTTATCCACCATACACTATGTGCCAGGCACAACGCTAAGTCTTTCTATGGACGAGCATCCCTTAATCTCAGCAGTAACAACCCCAGGCAATGGGGCCTGTTGACAGATCCATTTGCCACTGAAGACAGTAAGGCTCAGAGAGGGTAAGTGGCTTGTGCCATGTCAGCCAGCTAAGGAGGGGCAGAACCAGGATGCAAACCCCAGCCGCCTGGCTCCAGACTCGCGTTCCCAAGGTCCCACTACGTTTGGTCACTGCAGTGCATTCTGGTATCCTGGTCTTTGGCAGAGTCCACGTAAAAGAAGGAGGTAGAGGGAGTGAGAGGGACTTCACGCAATAAAGTTTCCTGATGTTACACTGCCACCGTAATTGTGTCCCCGACCAGAACCTCTCCCTTCTCATCCTTTCCGTGATCGGCCCTGGAAAACCTTCCAGAGAACTGTCCTCCTTCTCCCGGGATCTCAGAGAAAATTCACTCAGAGTTCAGTGTCCAGGTGACCCAAGCTCTGAATGCAGTAACGTGCACGGGGAGATGAGGATGTCACCATGAGCAAGCCTCCCAGACAGCATCCGGGAGCAACCCCAAGACTGGGCAGGGGGGCTCTGATGCAGCCCACGGCGAGGAGGGCTGCCCGTGCTGCCTAAATGTGTTCAGAATGAAGGCCGCCCTCCCAGCTTTAACCCGGGGCAGGCCACGGAGCCTCCCGCCGCCCCTACCCCGCGTCCCCAGCACCCCCGCGCTCCCGGCACCCCCGGACCCCCGCGCCCGCGTCACTTACTCCTCTGCCGTCGCCACCTGTCTGGGTGCCGGTCTCCTCCCTGCCCGGCCGCGGCGCGTCCTCCCCGTCCTCGCAGTCCTGGGGCTGTGCGCTTCCCCCCTCCAGCAAGAGCCGCAGCCTCTTCTCTTCGGGAGGGACGTCGTCCTCCTCCCTCCTGGGCCGGCCATCCCTGCCTCGGGGCTTGCCAGTGGCTTTGGAGCTGCCGGAAGGGCTGGCCATGGCTCCGGGGGCTCTGCCTGCATTTGGGGAAGAAGGACCCGGCGCAAGCGGCCTCTCGGCGGAGCTGGGGCGTCTGAGCGCGGGCTCGGAGGGTCCGCGCGGCGCGGAGGTGGGCACCGGGGCCGGCGCGGGCTCCTCTGCGGGCCGCTCCTGGCTCTCTGGCGCCCTCTGCTGGCCGCTCACGCGCACCTCCGCCACGCCGGGCCCGGGCCTGCGCCGCTCTCACCTGTCCTGGCCCGGGGGTCGCTGTCCCTTGCCCGTGGCCAGGCCCGCTCTGGCCAGGCCCTGCACCTCCTCCCCGCCCCAACCAGGTTGCACCCCGATGGTCTCCCTGCTCAAGGAGGAGAGAAGAGAAGGGACGCCCCGAGAGGGTGGACATCGGCCACAGCCACCTTGTCTTTGCTCTTACCCTGTGTCTTGCATGATTTGGAGGTGGTGGGAAAACCGAGGCTGCTCAAAACTCGTGGAGAATTCCGCCTGCAGGATGACATGAATGCACCTTCACATTGCCTACCAACAGATCTTTTTTGAGCATCACTGTGGACCAGTCGTGGTGATGGGGGAGGGGATATTGTGGTGAACATGACAGGCATTGCCTTCACCCAGTGGGGCTCAGCGCTGGGTGAGAAGGCATTGAGAATGGACATTGTCAATTGGGCCAAAGGAGGCCAAGGAGAAGTGCTGGGGACATGGGAACTAAAAAAGACAGGAGGCTCAGCAGGTCTTGGAGCTGGGAGAGTGACAGCAGCAGCGGCTGTTCCAAAGGAAGCAACAGCTGAGAGAGGTCTCAGAGAGTTGTTCTCAGCCCAGTGGAGGGTGTTCAGGCAGAGGGAACAGCGTGTGCAAAAGCCCAGAGGCTGGGAAAGAAGCAGAAAGAGGACTGTGGTGCTGGAGCGTGGTGGACAAGGTGAGAGAGGTGTGGTGGGCGGACAGATGGCCTGGGACCCAGCCGTGCAGGGGCAGAGGATATAGGGGATCCTTGCAGGCCCCCAGCCGGGGCTGAGGCACAGAGACAATGCAGGTGGGCAAAGGGAGGAGACGTGGAGAAATATTTTGGAGGCATGCCCTGATGAATGAGCCCAGGATGCACCCTTAGTGTCAGTGTGGAGCTCCTGCCTTGGCTGTGTGATGACCTGAACCCGGGGGTATTTTCTGGACATCGAAGTGCTACACCCAGAGTCCAGGACAGGCTAAGTGAGCACCAGCAGCTCCTGGCCCACCTCAAAAGCAGGAGAGACAGGGGAGACTGGGGAGGCCGGGGCGGAAGGGGAAGCCAGGAAGGCAGGAGAGGCCAGGGAAGCAGAGGAGGCCAGGGAGGCAGAGGAGGCAGGAGAGGCTGGGGAGGCTGTGTCCTTTCCATGATTCTGCCCAGGATCCTAGGTCCCTGTACTCCCTGAACTTCTCCACCCCAAGCGCTGGAAACATGTTGCACAATGGTCTCCCCACTAAGCTCCTGATGGCAGCCCCTGCCCTGCTGTGCTCCCTATTTCAACCCTAACAGCTCTCACAGTGGGCAGCACATAGTAGGTGCTCAGGAAACACTGGTGGGAGAGCACATGGGTCTGCTCAGCACCTTCCTCTCTCCTCCAGCTCTCCCCTGTCACGAAATAATTCTGATAACGACACATGGGCTATGAGACCCTCTTCTATTACTTTCCATATGCTAATCCATCTATACCCCACAGCAGCCCTGGGGTGGGTGCAATGAGGATGCCCATTTTATAGAGGAGGAAACTGAGGTATAAAGAGGGTAAGTGACATAGGCACACTACAGGGGCTGGGGCCAAGTGATCAGAGCACTCAATCCCCAAAGGCAAAGTGGATGCAGTTACCATAAAAGACAGCAGAGTCAAAGCTGCAACCAGAATAGCCTGACTCGCAGAGACCTATGGTGCCAGCTGATCGTGGCATTCCTAGAAGTGAAATAGATAAGAAGCCTGCCACATTTTTACTGGATCTGTGTTTGCAGAAGAGTTCTAGGTCAGGTGAGCAGAAGTCTAATCTGAATCATAAAAACAGAGTCACAGTCCCCAGTCAATTCCCAGACATAAGCCAGTTCACAAACCCGGAGTCCCTTGTCTGAATGGGAAGCCAGGTCCCCTCCAGAAAGGACTCTGCTCCACTGCAAAAAATTTATACTGTCAATCTTTCTCCCAGCCTGCCCCCAAGGGAATACACAGCCTTTTACCAGGATGACTGAACAGGAGAAAAGGAACTAATGGGCCCTGTGCAGGATCACTGGACACAGGCTCTGAACTGGCACTAGGGCGAGACTAGGGTCTACCAGACAGAATAGGCATTTTGGAGGTCAGGTGAATGTTGGTGCAAGTTCATGTCATGGTAGATCCATTGGGTCCCCAAATCCATCCTCTGGTTATATACAAAATGGCCATGTTGAGATTTAAATTCATGGCATCCAACTTAGAGGCTGTGCTCTTACTCATGAAACATTCTGACACTACTAACCAATTTAAAAATGCAAACACCTCCTGGGGCTAGCGAGAGTCCTCCAAACAGTCATGTTAATTGGTTCTGTCAATCCTCCTACCCACCCACCCCCTCACCCCCCCCCCCCCCGCGCGGAGAGCCAGTTGCAAGGAGAGACTAGGGAAGGGCATTGGGTAACTTTGTTGCTAAAAGCTCTTCTGGATAAAGAAGAGCTTTATCCAGGAAAAAGAAGCAAAATAGAGTTCAGCAGAAGTTGAGAAAAGAAGCAAATAGAGTTCAGCAGAAGAGGTAAGAAAGTAAGTTTATGTTTGACCACGCACGGTGGCTCACGCCTGTAATCCTAGCACTTTGGGAAGCCAAGGTGGACAGATCACGAGGTCAAGAGATCGCACCATCCTGGCCAACATGGTGAAGCCCCGTCTGTACTAAAAATTCAAAAATTAGCTGGCCATGATGGCACACGCCTGTAGTCCCAGCTTCTCGGGAGCCTGAGTCAGGAGAATCACTTGAACGCAGGAGGCAGAGGTTGCAGTGGGCCGAGATCATGCCACTACATCCAACCCCGTGACAGAACAAGACTCCATCTCATAAAACAAAACAAACAAACAAAAGTAAGCTTATTTTTAAGCCTGAACAAGTGTAGTGGTTTAGGGGTTCTGCAAACACGGCCCCAATCAGGCTACAAGATGTTGTGGCAGCAATATTTACAGCCAGTCACTCCTGGCTGGCTGAGCCACTTTTCAAAACACGCTTGCACGGCTGTGCAGAGCGGCTGGCTCCACTGGCAGCCGGCAGAGCCATAACTCACACTGTCACCACTGCCCTCAAACCCCTTCGGTAAGCACTTTGTTTTTTTGAGACGGAGTCTTGCTCTGTCATGCAGGCTGGAGTGCAGTGGCACAATCTCGGCTCACTGCAAGCCCCGCCTCCTGGGTTCATGCCATTCTCCTTCCTCAGCCTCCCAAGTAGCTGGGACTACAGGTGCCCGCCACCATGCCCGGCTAATTTTTTGTATTTTTAGTACAGACGGGGTTTCACAGTGTTAGCCAGGATGGTCTCAATCTCCTGACCTTGTGATCTGCCTGCCTCAGCCTCCCAAAGTGCTGGGATTACAGGCGTGAGCCACCGCACCCGGCCTGGTAAGCACTTTTAATCAATGCAACAGGAATAAACATTTGCTGCAGAGCGGCAACGTGCAGGGAGGAACATGGTTCCACTCAGGCTCAGAAAGCAAAACCTCCTGGCTGTTTGCATCTATGCAAGAGCTCGCAGGAAAAGCCCTCTGTGTGGCTGCCAGCCTCACACACTCCCCCCAAGGGGTGAGTTTCTCTTTCCATGTTAATCTATGCTCTGATGTGCCATCTGTCAACAACCACACCATTCTCAGTTGCCATTTCAAAGCATCTTTGCCCTGTGAATGGTCACCAGCCCTGCCCTGCAAGCCCCCAGTTCACATTGAACTTAAATGAGAGAGAAAGCAGGTTTTGGGGTGGATTTCAGTTCAGCATCTTGGAGTCTCTGTGTGGACATGAAATCTGTCTCTCCAGCTGTGGGCTGCATCTTTGTTTGTCATCTGGTTTGGTTCTTGGGGACTTGGAAACTCGTGGGCACCTTTGCAATTTGTCAAGAAGCTGCACGGCCCTTCCAACAAAAGCAAGGAATAGGAACAGAAGCCCAAGGCTTCAGATCAATGTGCAACTTAAAGCAGCCTCAGTGTAAAAGCAAACAAGAGTCAGAGGGATGCCTAAGGCAGAGTCTAGTCCCCAGGGCAGCTATAAGGCAAAGGGAAAGAGAGAGAGAGACAGAGACAGAAAGACAGAGAGAGATGGGAGGAGACATGAGGCACCCAGGCCTCTGCATCAAAATCCCTACAAGAGGGGCCTCCTAAAAATGCAGGAGGCTGAGGTGGGTGCACACAGAAGTTCAAGACTAGCCTGGGCAACATAGCAAGACCGTGTCTTTACAAAAAATACAAAAATTAGCCGGGTGTGGTGGTGTATGTCTGTGGTCCCAGTTACCCAGGTGGCTGAGGTGGGAGGATGGCTTGAGCCCAGGAGGTAGAGCTGCAGCGAGCTGAGATAGCACCACTACACTCCAGCCTGGGCAACAGAGTGAGACTTCATCTCAAAAAAATTTTAAAAAAATTTTAAAAAGGATCACCCTGGCTACTTGAATGGGCAATAAGAAGGTAAGAGCAGAAGCAAGGAGACCAGCAGGGAGATTCTGCAGGTGGGAGTCCACAGTGGCTCAGACCAGGCTGGCGCTGAAAACTGCCTGAATTCTGTATATATTTTGATGATGAAGCAACTCACCGACTCTTGAAGAGTGGGCTCTAGGAGACTGTATTTTTAACAAGCTCTCAGAGGATACTAATGCAGGCTGAATTTGAAGAACTGGTTTAGGTGAAGCTTATCTTTCATTCTTGGGGAAGTACCTACTGACTTTTCTCTAAGTCACCTCAAAAGAGGTGCTAGACAAGATGTGCTCCAATGTCTGAACATGTGTGCACAACTCTAGAGCCAACCTCAGGACACTGAGTCAAAGGTTAGTAGTACAACAGTGAACAACCACCATCCTCTTTTCAATGAGCTTTGCATTTAATGAGAGAAATAAAAAGCAAAAAAAAAAAAATCATTTTCAACTCAGAATGGTAAAAGTTATGGTGACAGTATGCCTGGGGCAATGGGAGCACATAGAAGGGGCATCCGATTGGCTAGGTGCAGTTGTTCATGCTGTAATCTCAGCACTTTGGGAGGCCAAGGTGGGTGGATCACTCGAGACCAGGAGTTCAAAAACAGCCTGGCCAACATGGTGAAATCCTGTCTTTACTAAAAATACAAAAACATTAGCAAGATGTGGTGGCGGGCACCTGTATTTCCAGATACTCAGAAGGCTGAGGTGGGAGAATTGCTTGAACCCGGGAGGCGGAGATTGCAGTGAGCCAAGATCGCGCCACTGCACTCCAGCCTGCATGGTCAGAGCGAGACTCCATCAAAAAAATAAATAAATAAATAAAAGCCCGGAGGTGGGTGGGCATGCAATCTCTATCAGGTGGTGAGAAATCCTTCTCCACCACAGGACTCCTCAGTTGAAGACTACAAAATGGTAGGAATTAGCCAGGTCGATAGGAGAGGTGTGGAAGATCATTCCCAGCAGAGGGAAGAGCATGTGCACAAATCGAGACGTGAGAGGGTGAGGAGCTGAGAGATGTTTATATAATTATAAAAATTGACTAATATAGAGGTAAGTTGGAGCCAAATCTTAAAGGTTATTTGTCGTGTTTATCCTGTAGACAAAGGGAGACAGTAGATGTTTTTATGCAGGGGAGTAATGATCCACTTTGTGCTATAAAAAGAGCAGTCTGACTGGAGGAGAGTGGGAGGTGAGTAGACCAGGTAGGAGGCTGCAATACGCCAAGTGAGACAAGATGGTTGGCTAGACCAAGGCTGTGGCAGTGAGGATGGAGAGGAGACAGTAGACTAACTTGACTGAGACAGAGGGAGGAATGAAGGAGGAGGCCCAGGTGTTTTGGAAGCTGGGTGGATGGTGGTGTGAATCTGATGTGATGAGCCCAGGCAGAAGAGGAAATCAGGAGAGGCAAGGTAAGATGAGGTCAATGCAAGAAAGACAGCCAAGTGGAGATAAAAACTGGGCCGTTGGATTCGTCAGCCTGGAGTTATACAGAGAGCTCTGAAATGGAAATAAAGAGGAAAGGACTTTGGGAATAGGTGAATCCTCCCAGAATAATGTGTAGAGAAAAGAGAATAGAACACAGGGGACAGAAAAAGGGAAGAGATTTGTTATTAAAACCAACCATCCATCAGACATCTTCCAATACAACACTTGTTAGAGGTTTCCTCAGTGTGAGTTATTCAGGACCAGAGCTAAAGACCATATTCCCAATAAAATCACGACTGGGAAGGTCTTCATGAAAACATTTAATGCTACTTTTAAAACAACAACAACAACAAAAAGGCTTTAGCTACTGCACAGACCCTGGAGCAATTTTTTGGCAAGAGTCTATCAAACACGAATCTGATCTGACTCAAGGAAGTGTCATATCAAGTGTAAAAATCCAATTCCAATGTTCATAACAGCCTTTCTGCCAGGTACAAGACCGTAATCCAGTTGAAGTGATTTTCTATGATTAATAGTCTGGGAATACACAGGTTGTTGGTTTTTGAGATTTCCCTCCCTGTACCTTCATGCCAGCTGTGAAAGAGTCAAAAGGCTCCTAACTGTCAAAATAAAAATGACACTTGGTCACAGAGGAAACAGATTATAGGTCAAACACATTGATGACTTTTTAACTATGAGAAGCCATTAATGTTACTGAATAAGCAAATCTGTTTGCATAACCAGATTTGTATAGGCTACTGGGAATAAAGGTTTTCCTAAGTGGGTGATTTGTACAACGATAACCTTTGGGTCTCTGATGGAACAGCTCTGATGAGGAAATGTTCCTTTAATTATGTGGAAGGCCAATTACCACGTTATAGCCACATTGTTTTGCAGATTGCATATAATTTCACCATTTCCATAGCTTCAGCACTATAATTCTGGAGAAAATTCAGGCACCAAGGAGACACTTGAGGCACACTATGCTGGAGACAAAGATGTTTTAGCGAATTCAATTTAAGCTTCAACATTAAAGTTATTTTGTTGAATAAAACATAATGCAATAATGAGCTTGTGTATGTCAACTCTATAGTGCAGGTAATAATAGCTAGAGAGAGCATGTCCCGTCTCCTCTTTTTAATGCTCATTCGAGTAATACATAATGCTATAGAAAGAACCTTTCTCTAATATGTGCTTCATCTCAGGCTGAGCGTGTTTTGGGCAACTGTGCTTCATGAAAAAGAAAAAAAAGTAAAGGATCTAATTTGGGAGCCATTCACAAAAGTGCTACCACTTGATGTTTTTTTATACTCTGAGATTTCTTATTCCCAGTGCCTACCAGGAATGGACTTTCTGGAGAAGCTCAGATTAATCACTCCTTATGAGAGGTGACAGCATGCTGGCAGCCCTCACAGCCCTCGCTCGCTCTCAGTGCCTCCTCTGCCTGGGCTCCCACTTTGTCGGCACTTGAGGAGCCCTTCAGCCCGCGGCTGCATGGTGGGAGCCCCTTTCTGGGCTGGCCAAGGTCGGAGCTGGCTCCCTCAGCTTGCAGGGAGGTGTGGAGAGAGAGACGTGAGCCGGAACCGGGGCTACGCGCGCTGCTTGCCTGCCGGCTGGAGTTCCAGGTGGGCGTGGGTTTGGCAGCCCCGCACTAGGAGCTGCCGGCTGGCCTTGCCGGCCGGGGCAGTGAGGGGCTTAGCACCTGGGCCAGCAGCTACTGTGCTCGACTTCTCGCCGGGCCTTAGCTGCCTCCCCGCGGGGCAGGGCTCGGGACCTGCAGCCCGCCATTCCTTAGCCTCCCCACTCCGTGGTCTCCTGTGCGGCCCGAGCCTCCCCGACGAACACCGCTCCCTGCTCCACGGCACCCAGTCCCATCGACCACCCAAGGGATGAAGAGTGTGGGCACACGGAGAGGGACTGGCAGGCAGCTCCACCTGCAGCTCCTGTGCGGGATCCACTGGGTGAAGCCAGCTGGGCTCCTGAGTCTGATGGGGACTTGTAGAACCTTTATGTCTAGCTAAGGGATTGTAAATACACCACTCGACACTCTGTATCTAGATCAAGGTTTGTAAACACACCAATCAGCACCCTGTGTCTAGCTCAGGGTTTGTGAATGCAGCAATCGACACTCTGTATCTAGCCATTATGGTGGGGACTTGGAGAACCTTTGTGTGGACACTCTGTATCTAGCTAATCTAGTGGGGACGTGGGGAGACTTTGTGTCTAGCTCAGGGATTGTAAAGGCACCAATCAGCACCCTGTCAAAACACACCATTCAGGATCTCTGTAAAATGGACCAATCAGCAGGATGTGGGTGGGGCCAGGTAAGAGAATAAAAGCAGGCTGCCCAAGCCAGCAGTGGCAACCAGCTGGAGTCCCCTTCCACACTGTGGAAGTTTGTTCTTTTGCTCTTTGCAATAAATCTTGTTGCTGCTCACTGTTTGGGTCCACACTGCCTTTATGAGCTGTAACACTCACCGAGAAGGTCTGCAGCTTCACTCCTGAAGCCAGCGAGACCATGAACCCACCAGGAGAAATGAACAACTCCAGACGTGCAGCCTTAAGAGCTGTAACACTCACCGTGAAGGTCTGCAGCTTCACTCCTGAGCCAGCGAGACCACGAACCCCACCAGAAGGAAGAAGCTTCGAACACATCCGAACATCAGAAGGAAAAAACTCCAGACACGCCAACTTTAAGAAGTGTAACACTCACCAGGAGGGTCCGCGGCTTCATTCTTGAAGTCAGTGAGACCCACCAATTCTGGACACGCTTATACACTTGGCACTGGGAGGTCTGTATGGAGCAAGTGAAGAAATCAGCAGAGTGAAGATAGAGGGAGAACAACATGATGGGGGAAAGGCAAAGTTACTGCCATGTTGGTTTCAATGCTGCCACTCATGAGTGAGACCCATGACCTCCTCTCTCTAGGACTCTGTTGTCCTTATCTGTAGAGTGGAGGAATAGAAGGGCCTTTTAAAGTATTAACATTTCCTGACCTATCTGTAAACTGATGGGAATCTTGACTACTTTGCCAAGAGGACATAATAATCATCAAGCTGAATGCACCAAACAACATTGCCTGAAACTAAGCAAAAACTGAGAAAGTTACACAGGACAGACAAACCTCCTATAAGAGTAAGAACTCTTTAGCACATGCTTAGTGTATCAAAGACAATGCTGTGTTCACACCATTCCTCTTCCTGGACATGCAGAAAGACTACATTTCCCAGCCTTACTTGCAGTTAGTTTGGAACCATGTGACTGCATTTCCACCAATAGGAATGTAAGAAATCCCTTCAGGCCAAGGTTGTCAAAGGCAAGTGTGAGCTATGTTCCCTCTCTTCCTATCCATATGGCTACAAGTGAAAAACTCTGAGATGGCAGAATTAAAAGATGGAAACCTCCAGAATCTCTGAATCACTGTTGGACAAGGGCCCCCAAGGAGAACCCCTGCCCTGCACCAGACTATGCTATGGGTGCCAACCCACTGAGAGTTCAGGGTTTATTCGTCTCAGCAGCAGTCTATTGTTACACTGACTAACATCCTAAGGTTTGAGCAATCTAGCATATTGTTAATTGAAGCTAGATTTCAATTACACTGAGAAACTTATCTATTTAAAAATAAAAACTCTCCTAAAAAAAACAAATAATCCACATTCCTTTTAACAACATGTGGCGAATTTGCACAAAAAAACACAACAAAACAAAAAAAAAAAACTGGCCACATATTAGGCCATAAAGAAGTCTCAACAAAATCCACTATACAATTGACATTGTCCAGACCACATTTTCCTGACCATAATGCAACAAAATTAGAAGTCAACAGCAAGAAGATAGCTAAACACAAGCATACATTAGGAAAATTAAAAATATCCTTTCATGAGTTAAATGAAAAATCACAATAGAAATTACTAAACATTTACAACTGAATGAAAACACAACTTTATATATATGTATGTATTTTTTTGTGTGTGAGTCTTCCAACTTTGTTCTTCTTTTACAAGGTTATTTGGGAAATTCTGGGTCTCCTGCAATTCCTCATAGAGTTTTATGCTGTTTGTCAATTTCTGTGGCTGGGATGAACTTATCGTAGTTCTCATAGACCAGGGTTTGCATGTCGCTGTCTAGAGCCCGGATCTGCTGCACCATGTCCGTCTCACTGTCCATCAGCTGGGCCAGAGAGCACTCTCTAGGCAGCTTGTCTAGGTAAACTTCCGGGTCGAAATGCGCCCCGTTCAGATCAGTGGGGTCCAGGGGGTCGGGCCCCGCGGGGAGTCCCACCGCCTCCCCTTCCGAGAGGCCGTTGTAAAGCTTTAGCATCCTGTGCGCCTTCTGCCGACGCTCCGTGAGCCTCCACATCGGGCCCTTTTGGGGAGTCCCCAGGTCCACACCCCGGGCTAGGCCCAGTGACAGCTGCCGCCGCCATAGCTCCAACTGCAGCCCACGGGCGTAACTTTTTATATTTTTAAGTTGGATATATGGAGCTACTTGGCTTTTGCTTTCATCACATCGTTGAGGAAAGAGGTGGTTGCTTATGGTACCCCTGTTTTTACTGCAACCTGTAATGGATCAGAAACTCCCTGTTGCAGAGAGCAAAACACTGAACTAAATTGTGCCCTGTGTTGTGAACTAAACACAGCCCTGTGTTGGGGGATTGGGAGTGATCATGCAAACGCTTGCAAATTTGCACAGTGACAGAGACAATCGTTTGGGCAGCTGTTCACTATATGAAAAGGCAATTGACCAAAAGTCAGTTACTGAGCTATCTCAATACTTTCAATTTTTTTTTTTTTTTTTTTTTGAGACGGAGTCTCGCTCTGTCGCCCAGGCTGGAGTGCAGTGGCGCGATCTCGGCTCACTGCAAGCTCCGCCTCCCGGGTTCACGCCATTCTCCTGCCTCAGCCTCCCGAGTAGCTGGGACTACAGGCGCCCGCTACCACGCCTGGCTAATTAATACTGTCATTTTATTTTCACTTTTGGCAACCGGGTGCAATTAAAGGAGAGAAAGAAAACAAAGTGATAAGTGTAAGATAATGTACACACATGTGTAAAAGAAAATGACAAGACAGGATGACTACTTGTCTCTTGGTTAGCTCCTTGGGCTCTATGTCTCCTTCCTCAGAGAACCTCGTTTTCCTTTGTCCAGATTTGTTAGGGTGGATAATCCAGGCGCCTGCTCTCCCATGATGGAAGCCAAAGACGTCCCTGGAGCCGCCTCCCGCTGCACCCTTTCCTGCACTGCCCACATGGACACAACTCAGCCGATTAGACTTCCTCTCAGAACTTTAGTCTTGAGCAAAGGGATTAAAGGGTGAAGTGACTGAAGGTATGCCCTTCCGAAGTGGTACGTGAGCTAATGGCTAAAGTTTGCCAAGCCCATCCAAGCACATTTTTTCGTAATTTTTCTTTATTTATTTTTTTAAGACAGAGTCTTGCTCTGTTGCCCAGGCTGGAGTGCAGTGGCGTGATCTCGGTTCACTGCAACCTCTGTCTCCCGGCTTCAAAGGAGTCTCCTGCCTCAGCCTCCCCAGTAGCTGGGATTACAGGCATATGCCACCTTGCCTGGCTAATTTTTTATTTTTTTTTTTTTGTATTTTTAGTAGAGACAGGGTTTCACCATGTTGGCCAGGCTGGTCTCGAACTCCTGACCTTGTGATTCGCCTGCCTCAGCCTCCCAAAGGACTGGGATTACACTCGTGAGCCACCACGCCCAGCTTCCAAAAGTTTTAAGCAGAGCTCAGAGGTCTTAACCACAGGCACATCAGAGGAGCATTTTTGAAACGCTTTCCAGCTTCCTCAATAGGAATGGAAGCCAAACTCCGAATTGATGACTCCTTTGAGGAAGTCGAGAGCTGTAAGGAAAGCCAGGAACAGGGGCAAGGGAGGGATGCGTCCCGAATGATCCTGTGCCAATTCTTTCTGGAATCCTTGATGTGATCTCAACTGCCCTTTCTATACATGACACAGTGATTGTGGCACCCACTGGTCTAGATGTGGTCTACAAGGAACCCCGAAAGGGAAGGGCACAGTGAGCAGGGCCATCGGCCTGAGTGATGAGGATTTGAGAGGGCAGGTTGGATGCAGGGAGAGGACTGGCCAAATGCCATGTGTCTGGACTTAGACTGCCTGGTTCAAATTGGACTTCACCCTTTTTGACTTCGTGATCTGGTACAAGCTACATGAAAATCCGTTGCGCCTTTTCTAGTCTGTAAAATCATCATGAAATGTGCACTAATAACGTGGAGACTATGCAGATGAAATGAAACCAGCTGCATAGAGCGCAGAGCTCAGAGCCTGGCCTTTAGGAAGCCCTCAGTAAGGGTTCATGATGCCATGGTGTCTGTCATCATCCTCTTTATCCTCATCATCACCTTCATAATCTCTTTGTTGTTCTTAGGGAATAGTTTAGAGGGACTGATTCCCTGCTATCATGGGTGAGATGTCTGTGAAAAGGACAACCAGTGGGGGAGGAAAGAAAAATTTTGAATAAGATTTCTGAGACCCCCAGCACAACCAAGAACAGAAACTCCACAGTCTGCTGAGGACAGAGTTTGCATATTGGTCTCCTCACATCTGCCCAGCGCATTCTCCTGTTTGTCCTGAGGAGGAGGAAACAAACAAGGCTCCCAACCGTCCCTCAGCACTCACTTGAAGGGGTGGCCTGCCCCTCCACACCTGTGGGTATTTCTAGTCGGGTGGGACGAGAGACTGAGGAAAGAAATAAGACACAGAGACAAAGTATGGAGAAACAACAGTGGGCCTAGGGGACCGGCGCTCAGCATACCAAGGATCTGAACCAGCACAGGCCTCTGGGTTCCCTCAGTTTTTATTGATTATTATTTTTATTATTTTAGCAAAAAGGAATGTAGTAGGAGGGCAGGGTGATAATAAGGAGAAGGTCAGCAACGAACATGTGAGCAATACAGTCTAAGTCATAAGGAAGTTCAAGGGAAGGTACTATGACTGGACGTGTCTCTAAGCAAGATTTATGTTTCTCTCCAGCCAGACATCTCAGTGGAGTAAAGAATAACAAGGCAGCATTGCTGCCAACATGTCTCACCTCCTACCATAGGGCGGTTTTTCTCCCATCTCAGAATTGAACAAATGTACAATCGGGTTTTATACCGAGACATTCAGTTCCCAGGGGCAGGCAGGAGACAGCGGCCTTCCTCTCTCTCAACTGCAAGAGGATTTCCTCTTTGAGTAATCCACCTCAGCACAGACCCTTTACTGGTGTCGGGCTCAGGGATGGTCAGGTCTTTCTCCTCCCACGAGGCCACTTTTCAGACTATCACATGGGGAGAAACCTTGGACAATACGGCGCTTTCAAGGGCAGAGCTCCCTGAGGCTTTCCACAGTGTATTGTGCCCCTGGTTTATTGAGAATAGAGAATGGCGATGACTTTTACCAAGTATACTGCTTGGAAACAACTTGTTAACAAGGCACGTCCTGCACAGCCCTAGATCCCTTAAACCTTGATTTCATACAACACATGCTTTTGTGAGCTTCAGGTTGGGTCAAAGTGGTTTGTTCAAAGTGACTGGGGCAAAGCTACAGATTAACAACATCTCAGCAAAGAAATTGTTGAAAGTACAGGCCTTTTTCAAAATGGAGTCTCTTATGTCTTTCCTTTCTACATAGACACAGTAAGAGTCTGATCGCTCTTTCTTTTGCCTACACTCACTGAACTGCCCTTCCCCTCTGCTGGGCCATGACCACGGAGAACAGGTCCACTGTCCTCCCTGTGTGGTGCACCATGGAGGCTCAGACTCCGTCCTTGAGGCTGGCAAGAAGACAGGGTAAGACATGAGCCTCCTGATACAGGTGATGTCTGTGGAGCCCACAGGACTGCAACCTCACACTGCAGGGCTGGAGGCACAGACTATTTACTATTCTGTGGCCTGGGAGCTCAAGGCACAGACCTCCTCATTAGCCAAAGTCGCCCAAGTTCCCCAACCACTAAGGATTTCCTCATAATAATGCAAGAAGAAGAAGAGAAAAGTGAGTGTCCATAGAAGCTTTGGGGCTCTTCCTCTAATCAGGAGAAAGCTGGTGTGTATTCTTAACTTCTTTCTTTTCTTTTTAAACATCCAACTGCTTTAATTTTCATCTTTATTGTGGGAAAATATACCATGTATAAATATTAAAAATTATAAATATATATTAGTTCATATAGAATGGCCAGTATAAACATTTACAATTTCCACTGTTTTTCAGTTTACAGTTTCATGACATTAAGTACGTTCACATTGTTTAGCAACCATCACCGTCATCGTCTCCGGAACAGTTTTATCTTTCAAAATGGAAATGGCACCCATTCACCAAGCTCTCCACTCCTCTCTCTTGCCCACCCCTGGGGGCCACCTTTCTAGTTTGCAACTCTATGAGTTTAACTACTCTAGACACTTGATAGATAAGTGGAATCATACCGTGTTTAATTTTCTTGTTTTGGAGACAGAGTCTTTCTCTGTCACCCAGGCTGGAGTGCAGTGGCATGATCTCGGCCCACTGCAACCGCCACATCGTGGGTTCAAGCGATTCTTCTGTCTCAGTCTCCGGAGTAGCTGGGATTACAGGCGTGCGCCACCACGCCCAGCTAATTTTTGTATTTTTAATAGAGACCATATTGGCCAGGCTGGTCTCCTGACCTGAAGTGATCCGCCTGGCTCAGCCTCCCAAAGTGCTGGGGTTACAGGTGTGAGCCACTGAGCCTGGGCGTGTTTATCCTTTTGGGATTCATTTATTTCACTGACGATAATGTTTGCAAGGTTCATCCATGTTGCGGCCTGCGTCAGAAGTGCCTCTCTTTTTTTTTTTGTTTGTCTTTTGTTTGTTTGTTCGTTTGACTTTGTTTTGTTTTGTGTTTCCATGGAGCCTCACTCTGTCGCACAGGCTGGAGTGCAGTGGCACAATCTGGGCTCACTGCAACCTCCGCCTCCCGGGTTCCAGCCATTCTTGTGCCTCAGCCTCCCGAGTAGTTGGGACTATAGGCACACCCCACCACGCTCGTCTCATTTTTTGCATTTTCAGTAGAGACAGGGTTTCACCAAGATGGCCAGGCTGGTCTTGAATTCCTGACCTCAGGTGATCCGCCCACCTCGGTCTTCCAAGACGCCGCAATTACAGGCGTGAGCCACCGCACTGGCCAGAAGTGCCTGCCTTTTTAAGGCTGAATAGTCTTCCATTGTATAAAGGAACTGCAGTGTGCTTTTTCATTCATCTGTCCATGAACCCTTGGGTTGCTTCCACATTTTGGCTGTTGTGACTAATGCTGCTATGAATATGGGTGTACACAAATCTGTCTTCCACTCCTGGCTTCTAATTCTTTTTGGTAGGTACCCACAAATGAAACTGCGGGAACATCTGATCATTCTGTTTCTAAATTTTCCAGTAGATGCCATACTATTTTCCCCGTTCCTTCATGGTTTTACATTCCCTCCAATCATATTCGAGCATTCCTACTTCCCTCTAGTCTCACCAATGCTTTTTTGTTTATCATATCCATCCTAATGTGTGGTATGACATTCTTGGTTTGATTTGTGCTTCCCTATGATGAGTGACTTTGAACATCATTTTAGATGCTTATTGGCCATTGCTATATCTTCTTTAGGAACACGTCTACTCAAGTCTTCTGACCATTGTTGATGGGATGCTTTGGGTTTCTTGTTGTTTAGTTGTAGCTGTTCTTTATATATGATGGATATCAGCCTCTTTTCAGATATATGCTTTGCAAATATTGTTCCTAATCCATGGGTTATCTTTTCACTCAGTTCACAGTGTTTTTTGCTGCACAAAAGTGTCTGTCATTTAGATGTAATCCAAGGAATCTAATTTTCTTTTGTTGCCTATGCTTTTGGTGTCATATCCCAGAGAACATTGCCCAATCTGATGTCATGAAAGCGTGGCCAATGTTTTCTTTTAGGCGTATGATACTTTTAGCCCTTGGGGTGAGGCCTTTGATCCAGTTTGTGTTAATTTTTGCACCTGGTGTGACATAGGGTCCACCTTCATTCTTCTGCATGTGGAAATCAAGTTTCTCCAACACCATTTCTTGAAAAGGCTGCTTTTCCACCAATGAGCTTTCTTAGCACTCATGTGAAAAATCATTTGAACATATAGGTGAGAAGTTATTTCTGGGCTCCAAAACAAACAAACAACAACAGACAACAGATAAGGATACAGCATGGTCCGGGCGCGGTCGCTCACGCCTGTAATCCCAGCACTTTGGGAGGCCGAGGCGGGTGGATCACCTGAGGTCAGGAGTTGAAGACCAGCCTGACCGACAGGGAGAAACCCCCGTCTCTACTAGAAATACAACATTAGCTGGGCGTGCTGGCGCATGCCTGTAATCCCAGCTACTAGGGAGGTGGAGGCAGGAGAATCGCTTGAACCCAGGAGGCAGAGGTTACGGTGAGCCAAGATTGCACCATGACACTCCAGCCTGGGCAATAAGAGTGAAACTCCATCTCAAAACAAAAAACAAAAAACCAGCATGATTTCAAGAGTGGAAAGAGAAGAGCTTAAAAACCAGCATAATGAGAAAGTTAGGAAGCTTCTTACCAAAGCATCTGGAAATATGCAAGCAATTCTTGTGAACTAAAATTTTCATACTGTACTATCAAACACTAGAACTCACTTGTTCCATCTTTCTGTATTTTGGGACACAATTATCCACTTGTCTTCATTCCCTATCCCACCCCTTTTCTTCCTAGTGTCTGCTGATCACCTTTATACTTTCCACCTTCCTGAGATTCCTATTGTGTGTAGGTGGGTGATGGAGTCTCTTTCTGTTGCCCAGGTTGGAGTACACAGGCAAAATCCGGGCTCACTGCAAGCTCTGTCTCCCGAGTTCAAGCACTTCTTGGGCCTCAGCCCTCTGAGTAGCTGAGACTACAGGCATGCGTCACCATGCCCGGCTCATTGTTTGTGTTTTCCGTAGAGACGGGGTTTCACCATGTTGGCCAGGCGGGTCTCGAACTCCTGGACTCAAGTGATCCGTGCGACTCGGCCTCCAAGAGTGCTGGGATTCCAGGCCTGAGCCACCACACCTGGCCAAGGTGTCTTTTTTCTTCCTACATAGAAGTGAGGACATGAAATATTTGTCATTCTGTGCCTGGCTTCTTTCCTTTAATATACAGACCTGCAATCTCATCCATTTTGTCTGCAGCGGAGAGGAGTTTCTTCCTTTTTAGGCTGAATAATACTTCATTGGGTGTGTATACCACAGTTTCTTCATTGAAACAAATTTCTGAAGAGAAAATATTTTTAAAATGTCTCAGAATGTGAAACCTCAGGGATACTGTGTCCATTTTATTCTTTTCTATTTCCCATCTTATGTATATGCAAGTGTATAACAAAGCAGCAATCAATGTGTGTATAAATCTACAACTTCAACAAATGTAAAATATAAATGCTGAGTGCTGGCTGGGCGCGGTCGCTCATGCCTGTAATCCCAGCATTTTGGGAGGCAGAAGCGGGCGGATCACCTGAGGTCGGGAGTTCAAGACCAGCCTGACCAAAATGGAGAAACACTGTCCCTATTAACAATACAAAAAAAAAAAAATTAGCCAGGCATGTTAGCGCATGCCTGTAATCCCAGCTACTTGGAAGGCTGAGACAGGAGAATTGCTTGAATACGGGAGGCAGAGGTTGCAGTGAGCCAAGACTGTGCCATTGAACTCCAGCCTGGGCAACAAGAGTGAAACTCTGACTCAAAAAATAAGGAAAAGAAAGAAATAGAAAATGCGAAATGGTAAGAAAAAACAGCATAATAAACATTTGTATGGTGTTGATGGACAATGCATTTGAAGATAATATTTGAAGAAATCATATTACAATTAATTTCTGTTCTTACACATTGGAGCTTGATGCCTCCAAAAACTTCATCATTGGAACCACCTCTGGTGCTTTAAAAGAAAAAAAAAAAATCCACATGCTCACACAGGTGCAAGGAAATCAGAATCTCAGGTATTGAGACCCAGGGCCTCATCATTTGTAAGCTCCCCAGGTGAGTTGACTCAAAACCAAGATTGAGGAAGGGCGACATGGATCTCTACACATAACCTGCCTAAATAGATTCTCTAGAAGCAGTTTATAAAGAAATTCCAGATGAACTGTGGAAGAGGATATGAATTTGATGTACAGTATGTCCTCACTTAACATCTTTGAAAGTCTCTTGGAAACTTCACCTCGAAGCAAAATGATGTATAGTGAAACCACTTATTTTTTATCAACAGTATAACTACACAACTTTGAACAACCAATGGTGTTGGAGGACCTCCTGTACATTGTTTCCATAAAGTCAGTTTTCAGGGAATTCCAAAACGAAGTGAGGACTTCGTGTATATAAAAAGATGGTTGTGATTCCACCTGGATGACAGGGTTATTACTCAGAAACTAAAAGAGGCTGCCTAGGTATAGAGGATTCAGTCATGAGGTTTCTGCTAAACAAAGGATCCCAGAATCCTCACCCATTCCAGTTAAAGGCATAACGAAGAAAGCAATATTCACAAAGGAAATGCGGAAAGGAATAAAAGCCATCAAGCCACAAAAATAATGTGACTAAGGGGCAGGATTTGCAGATGTAGAGATTTAATGTGGTTGCCCTTTCTCACCCACACAAGAAAAAGGATGGAACAGATCATGAAATTCGACTGTTCTGCTGAGCACCCTCCGCAGGGCACTTTGTATGTCCCTGTTTCTCAGGCTGTAGATGAAAGGGTTCAGCATGGGAGTGACCGCAGCATACATCACTGACGCCACTACACCATTGCTGGGGGGTGGTGACACAGCTGAAGTCAGGTACATGCCAATGCCTGTTACATAAAATCAGCAAACAACTGCTAGGTGAGAGGCACATGTGGAGAAGGCTTTATACTTCCCATATGATGATGAAATCCTTAGAATGGAGGGGATGATTTTATAGTAAGACCATAGGATCCCTGAAATGGGAAGAAAACCAAACATAGTACTATCGAAATATATGAATATGCTATTGATGACGCTGTCAGAACAGGCAAGTTTGAGAAGTTGAGAGGGGTCACAGAAAAAATGAGAGATTTCCACATTCTTGATGATGGTGAATTGTAACACAATTCAACTGTGCAGCTGGGAATCCAACAGGCTAAGGAAAAAGGACACCAAAACGAAGAAGACACAGAGGTGAGGATTCACGATGACTGGGTAGTGCAGAGGGCGACAGATGGCTACAAAGCAGTCATAGGCCATCACAGTCAGGAGCATGCCTTCTATACATGCAAAAAGGATGAAGAAAGACATCTGCGTCAGACAGCCCGCATGAGAGATGACTCTGCTATGCGACTGCATGTCCACAATCATCTTGGGAACCGTGGCCAAGGTGAAACCGATGTCAGCCCAGCACAGGTGGGGGTGTGGAGGGGAGAGACAGAGCTGACAGCCAGGATGCTGAGCAGGTTCCTCAGCACCATGACCAGATACATGGACAGGGACAGGGAGAGCAAAGCGAGGACCGGCTGCAGTTCTGGATCCTCTGAGAGTCCCAGGAGGAGGAATTCTCAGACATCTGTGAGATTCTGTGGCTCTGTGTGTCTTGGACACCTTGAGAAGGAAAGAGGATTGGAAAAATAAAAGATAAAAACCAGTCCTTAATGCTGGATGCAAGCAATTCACAAGGAACATTTTCACACTTGCGGACCATACACCGCCAGCAATGTTTCTCAGTTATGACAATTCCAAAAAATCTCAGAATTATTACGTGATTTACTCTTTTGCTATACAAGGCTTTCTGTACATACTACTTTAGAGAAAATCCACTGAAGAATATTAGAAGACCAAAACATCATATATAACAAATCCGTGATCTCAGTAAAATACGGCCTACTCTTTTCAGAAAAAATACAATGCAATGACAATGTCCTTCTCGCTTTAAGAAAAAGATCTCAGTCTAATTGAAAGAAATTAAGAAGCCGTGAAATACACTCTACTTTATTCTGACACCGTGCTACAACTTCCATTGATGTAGAATATGTAAAAGGACGACACAAGAGCTAGGAACCCATTATCTGAAAACGAAATCAAACCTTATAGTTCTCAATCGGAAGACCTTTTCACATGCCTGTTACTTTTCGTATTTATTATCATCCTTCAGTTTTCTGACATCATTTCTTCATAAAAGTACATGCACACTCAAAGATGGGAGCTGTGTTTCCAAATGAATTGAATATATAACTCTTGGCCCAGCACCATGGCTCACACCTGTAGTCCCAGAACTTTGGGCGGCCGAGGCTGATGGATCACCTGAGGTTAGGAGTTCCAGACCAGCCTGGCCAACGTGGTGAAACCCCGTCTCCAGTGAAAATAAAAAAACATTAGCCGGGCATGGTGGCGGGTAACCCTAGCTACTCGGGAGGCTGAAGCAGGAGAATCCCTTAGAGCCTGGAAGGCAGAGATTGGACACCCTGTGATAGGATCTTTGATATCCTAGGGAGATATTGCTCCTGACAGCAGAGTGGACGTACACCCTGTGATATTATTTGTAATATCCTAGAAAGATATTGCTCCTAATATCACGGTGGCTCTACACCCTGTGATCTTAATTGTAATATCCTACAGAGATATTACTCCTAATAATACAGTGGGTGTACACCCTGTGATATTATTCATAATATATTACAGAGATATGACTCCTGATATCACAGTGAGTGTACACCATGTTTGTACACTCTATGATCTTATTTGTAACAACTTAGAAAAATATTACAGCTAATATCAAAGTGGGTGTACACACTGCGATGTTATTTGTTATCTACTAGGTAGATATTACTCCTAATATGACAGTGAGTGTACACCATGTGTGTACAGACAGTGAAATTATTCATAATACCCTAGGAAGATATTACTCCTCATATCACAGTGGGTGTACACCGTGAGTGATATTTTTTTCTAATATCCAGCGGGGGAGAGGATGATATTGCTTCCAATATCACAGAAGGTGTACACCCCCCTGTGATATGTTCCTAATATCCAGGGAAGGAGAGGATGACATTATTCGCAATATCACTGGGGGTGTACCACCTCCCGCCGGGATATTGTTCTTAATATCCGGAGGTGGAGAGAATGATGTTACTCCCAATATCACAGGGGGTGTACACCACCCCTGTTTGTAAACACCCCTGATGATATTGTTCCAAATGGCCTGTGAAAGAGTAAACATGACTCCCATTATCGCGGGGGGTGTTCAGCCTTTATGATGTTGTTTTCTAACATCCAGGGAAGGAGAGTATGCTATTACTCCCAACATCGCAGGGGTTGTACACCCTTTTGTGTTTTTGTGCCCAATATCCAGGAAAATAGAGGATGATGTTTCTCCCAATGTCGAAGTAATTGTACAGCACCCCTGTGATATTCTCCCTAATATCCAGAAAGGAAGAGAATGATATTACTCCCAACAGCGTAGGAAACGTATACCCGCGCTGTGGTATCTTTCCCAGTATCCAGTTGGGGAGAGGATCATATTACTTCCAATGTCGCAGGGTGTGTACACCCCCTCTGTGATCTCATTGCTAACATCCAGGTTTGGGGAGGACGACATTACTCCCAATATCGCAGGGGAAGTACACCCCCCCGTGACCTTGTTAGTCATTTCCTGGGTGGAGAGGATGATCTTACTCCCAATATCGCAGGGAGTGTTCACACCCCTGTGAAAATTTTCCTCATATCCAGAGGGCGAGAGGATGATATTACTCCCAGTACTGCAGGGGGTTTACACAGCCCTGTGATACTCTTCCTAATATCCACAGGGAGAGAGGATGATATGACTCCCAATATCGCAGGGGGGGTACACAACCCTGTGATATTGTTCCTAATATCCAGAGCGAAAGAGGATGATATGACTCCCAATTTCGCAGAGGGTGTACACCCCCCTGTCCTATTGTTCTGAATACCCTGGGAGGGAGAGGATAAGGTGACATTGAATATCGCAGGGAATGTACACCCTCCCCCTCTGATACCCTTCCTAGTATCCAGGGGAAGAGAGGATAACTGTACTCCCAATATCACAGAGGCAGTACGCCCCACCTGTGATATTGTTCCCAATATGCAAGGGGGGAGAGGATGATACTACTCTCAATATCGCAGAGGTGTTCACATCCCCAGTGACATTTTTCCTAATATCTAGGGGAGAGACAATTACATGACAGCAAATGTCGCAGGGTCTGTACGTCCCTTCCTGATATTGTTCCTAATATCCAGGGGGGAAGAGGATGATATCGAATATGAAAGGGGGTGTACAACCCCCACCCCTAAGATATTGTTCTTAATATTCTTGAGGGGAGGTGAAGATATGACTCCAAATATCGCAAGGGTTGTTCACACCCCCCTGTGATACTCTTTCTAATATCCGGGGGGGGGAGAAAGTAACATGACTTCCAATATTGCGGGTGGTGTAAACCCCACCTGAAACATGGCACCGAATATCCAAAGAGGGAGAGGATGGCATTCATACCAATATCGAAGTGTGTGTACACGCCCCTTGTGACATGGTTTTTAATATCCAGGAGGCGGGAGGATGATATTAGTCCCAACGTCACAGAAGGTGTACACTACCCCTGTGATATTGTCCCTAACTTCCAGAGGGGAGAGGATGAGATCACTCCCAATATCTCAGAAGTTGTACATCCCCCGTGATATTGTTCGTCATATCCAGGGAGGCACAGGATGACATTCCATTGAATTTCGCGACAGGCATACACGCACACTGTGATATTGTTCCTAATATCCAAGAAGGCAGAGGATGACATTACTCCCAATAAAGCAGTGGGTGTACATTACCCCTGTGTTATTGCCTCTAATATCCGGGACCGGAGGAGGTGGGGAGAGGATAAGATTCCCTCCAATGTAGCAGGTGGTTTGATGCCCCTCGTGGTGTTGTTTTACATATCCAGCGGGGAAGACAATAATATTATTTTTGATAGTCCGATTCATCCGCTCCACCTTTCCGGAACTCTGAGGCCGGGAGGCGGCATGCAGTTTCCGTGTGATCCCCAATACTTTTGCCGTCTTCTGTAGCAAGTCAGCCACAAACGCAGGCCCGTTATCTGAGCCGATCCAGAAGGGCAGTCCCAATCTACGAATCAGATCTCGAAGAAGCACACGGGTTACTTCACGAGCTTTCTCAGTTTGTGTTAGATAAGCCTCCACCCACCCAGAGTAGGTACACCCAAGAACTAGTAAATACTTGTTACCTCCACACTTTGGCATCTCTGTGAAGTCTACCTGGAGATCTTCAAAGGGGGCCGCTCCATAAGCTTGTATGCCGGGTGGAATGGCTAGACCTTGCCTCGTATCATGCTGTCGGCAGCTGGCACATCACTGCCTCACTGTTTTGGCAAGGGCTGAGAAAGGCGAGATGTAGAAATACCGGCCTAACAACTTTTTGCAGTGACTCCTGACCTCGATGGGTGGTTTCTTGCACAGCCAGTACAACTGCAGCTCCTCGCAGCTGTGGCACAGCTACTCTCCCATCTGGTAACCGAATCCATCCTTCTTCCATCACTTGTCCCTCTACCTGGAGAAAGTCCTTTTCTTCTTTAGAATAAGCAGGTCTAAGATCAGGTGCTTGAGGGAGCAGAGGAGCTGTGACTGATGCCTGGAAAGGGGCAGATGCTGCTTTTCGAGCCTCTGAGTCAGTGCGGGAATTCCCCAAGCCCACCAAGGTGGAAGCTCGCTGGTGTCCCCTGCAATGCATAACTGCCACCTTGTGGGGTTTCCATACTGCTTCTAATAAATGGAAGATCTCTGGTTGATATTTTCTGCCTTTTCCCCCAGAGTTCAATAGGCCCTTTTCTTTCTAGCATGCTCCATGCACTTGAAGGGTTAAAAAGGCATACCAAGAATCAGTGTAAGTGTTGACAGTCTCACCCTCACTGAGTTCTAAGGCCCGAATGAAAGCAATGAGTTCAGCTTTCTGGGCTGAAGTGGCCTGGGGCAACGATCTGGCTTCAACAACAGTGTCCAGGGTTATCACTGCATACCCTGCAACTCTCTCTCCTTGGGGGTTGAAGAAGCTGCTCCCATGCACGTATAGTTCCCAGTCTACTGATGCCCAAGGCTGGTCCCGGATGTCAGGTCTGCTAGAGTCAACTGAGTCCAACAATTTTACACAATCATGCTCGACAGGGCTCTCTGATAGCGGGAGCAAGGTGGCGGGGTGTAGGGTGTTACAAACTTCAATGGTTATATGGGGATTTTCACAGAGCAAACTTTGGTACTTGGTGAGTCTGGCATTCGTTAGCCAATGATGTCCTTTAGTATTCATTAAAGTCACCACAGCATGGGGGGCCTTTATGTTCAGGTTCTGCCCAAGAGTCAGCTTCTTTGCTTCTTGTACTAGCAGGGCAGTTGCTGCCAAGGCCCTCAAACACAGGGGCCATCCTTTAGAGACCCCATCTAGTTGTTTGGAGAGGTAGGCCACCGGCCTCAGCCAGGGCCACACAGTTTGGGTTCAAAGTCCGGCTGCCATCTTTTCTCTCTCTCTGACACATAGGATGTAAAAGGCTTTGTCAGATAGGGTAGCCCCAGGGCTGGGGCTGACATAAGTTTCTCCTTTAACTCATGAAAGACTTGCTGTTGTTGGGATCCCCATTCAAAAAGTTCCCGGTCCCCGCCCCATTGGTGACCTCATACAAAGGCTTGGCTAATACTGCAAAGTTTGGGATCCGCAGTCTACAAATCCCACAGCTCCTAAGAATTCTCTCACCTGCCTTCTGCTCTTAGGCTCTGCTAGATTACAAATGACCTGCTTTCTTTCTGATCCCAAGCTGCGTTGCCCCTGTCGGATAGTAAATCCCAAGGAACGTACCTGCTGTAGGCAGATCTGAGCTTTCTTCTTGGACGCCTTACACCCACAGTCCTCCAGGTGTTGGCGTAGGGCAATCCATTCCCTTGGCGCACCGGACTGCCGTGGGGTGTCCCAGCAAAAGCTCATCAACCTAGCGGAGCAACGCGCAGCCTAGGTCTCTGGTGGGAAACTTCTGGAGGTCTCGAGCCCACGCCTCCCTGAAGATGGTGGGGGAGTTCTTGAACTCTTGGGGAAGCTCGGTCAAAGTGTACTGAGTAGTGACACCTGACTCCGGATCTTCCCACTGAAAGGCAAACAGCTTCTGGCTCTCCGGGGCTAATCTGATAGGAAAGAAAGCGTCTCTCAGGTCCAAGCAGGTGAACCAGCTGTCCTCGGCTGGCAGCAACCCCAACAATGTGGACGGGCTAGGTACTGTTGGATGGAAAGTCAGGGTAGCTTGACTAAGCAAGCGTGAATGCTGTCCCGGCCTGTAGTCCTTGGTCCATGGCTTGGGAACAGGCAGGAGGGGAGTGTTCCGTTGAGACTGACAAGGAACTATCATACCCAAAGTTCTTAGGTGCTTAAGAAGGACCTGGATACCTTGAAGAGCTTCTCTGGGGACCGGGTCCTGTTTTTGCCTAAGCGGCTGGGCCCCAGTCTTAACTGGCCAACCCTGGAGGGTTGTCTTCTGCCTGTACTCTTGGCCACCGCTTAGCCAGAGCTGGTCTTCTCTCTTGGCCTGGCTCAGTTCACAAAAGTCTCCATTCCTCCTCTCGGGGGACCGTAAGGGTCATAATGACTCCCGTGGTGGGTAACTTTAGCAGCAAAGAGCTGTGTTCTGTCAAAGAGAGAGCAGCTCTCAGCTTGCTAAGCAAGTCCCTTCCCAACAAGGGCAAGGGACAGCCAGGCATGTACAAAAACTGATGAATCACTTGATGTCCTCCTACAGTGCAAGTCCCAGGCAAGCAGAAAGCTTGCTTTGCTGAAACCCCCGTGGCTCTGGTGACGTCAATAGTCTTTCTGGATAAGGGGGCGACCGGGGCGGCTACTAGCGAATGTTCAGCACCGCTATCTACAAGAAAAACAATGTCTCTACCCTCGACTGTCATTCTGACCAGAGGCTCTTTGAGAACACTTGAGCCTGGTTTCCCTCAGTCCGATAACCCTTCTGCCAGGTTGAGCCGGGCCCCTTCCTCCTTGTCCGGGGCCTCCTGCTCTGAGTCACCTTGTTTTCTTTTGAGCTCAGGGCATTTGTTCTTCCACTATCCTATTTCTTTACAATAAGCATACTAGTGACGCTGCAAACTCTGACAGCCAAGCTGAGTTTCTTTCCCAGGGCCCCCCTTCCCTTGCTTCTTTGAGGGGACAGCTCTGATTGCTGCAGCTAACAAACAGGTCAGCGTTTCACCGGGCCTGACCTTCATTCTCTTTGCACTTTCCCTCGCGGCTTACTGCATCCCTGTTTACAAACACCTGCTTAGCTATTTCTCATCAATGTGATGTATTCATCCCTGCAAGCCCAGCCTGCTTCTGCAGTTTTCTTCTAACGTCTTCCGCGCTTTGACGGACTAAAGCCATGTGAATCATGCGCTGATTTTCAGGGTTATCAGGATCAAGGGGAGTATACATACCATAGGCCTCACACAGTCTCTGGTAGAATTGTGCTGGACTTTCTTCTTTTCCCTGAATGACCTCAGAGACCTTGTTAACGTTTGTGGCCTTCTGAGCTCCCCTCTTGAATCCTTCCAAGAGAGCTTCCCTGTCTCAGTTTAGCCTTTGCATATCCTCTCTTTCGTGTGGGTCCAACTGGGGGTGGGTTCCTGGTAACTGGGTCCTTCCATACTCTTGGGGTTTTTGATAATCAGCTGGTGTATGTTCCTCTAGCCACTTAGTTGCTACGTGGAGCCCTCTCCGCCTTTTGCCTTTCATCTCTCTTAAAGAGTAACATGAGCAACCGGTGGCGATCAGCCCAGGTGGGGTTGTGGGTCTGGATAACAGTTTGGAGCAAATCAATTAGTGCTTGCGGCTTTTCGCTCTAGGACGGGGTATTGTTTTCCCAGTTGAGAAGGTCGGCAAAGGTGAAGGGCTGGTACACAAAAACACGTCTCTCCACCACGTGACCATCCTCCTCTCTCCCAGTATACCGCTGCTCTCTCAGGGGCGTTTGGATCCCTGTTTTGGGTCGTAAACGGGTTGCCGAGGGAGGGGTGGAATGGCGCAATGTTACTTACCGCAATTAATAATCTCAATTATTAATTGATACTGATAATTATCAATATTAATAACTGATCATATAATTCTTAAAATCAATACCGATAATAATGATAATTCGTATTAAAGAGTTATACTCACGATAACAATAAATGATGAATATTAATGATTAATGACGCCTGGTCTTAAAGAGTGATATTGATCTTATTCATTAGAAAACTGTCATATTAGCTCCTAATAATTAACAGTAATATTAATAATCTGAACACTATTTTTAGCAATGATTTCTTAATATTAATATTAATATTGGTAATACATATTCATGTTATAAATGAGGAAGAATTAATATGAATATTATCCCTAATACCTCAGTGGGTGTACACCCACCAGTGATATTGTTCCTAATGTCCAGGGAGGGAGAGAGCATGATATGACGTTCAATATCGCAGTAGGTGTACACCCACCCGGTGATATTGATCCGAATATCATCTCCAGGGGGTGGCGTATGACGTTACTCCCAAGATAGCAGTGGGTGTGCATCCACCCGGTGATATTCCTCCTAATATTCCCGGAAGAAGAGAATGCTATTACTCCCAGTATCTCAGGAAGTGTACACCTCTTCTGTGACATTGTTCCTAATATCCGGAGGGGGAGAGGGTGATATTACTCGCAATATCGCAGGCTGTGTACACCCACCCTCTCATATTGTTCCTAGCAGCCAGGAAGTGAGAGGACGATATGACTCCCCATACAGCAGGAGGTGTACACCCATCCTGGGATATTATTCCTAACATCCACGGAGAGGAGAGGCTGATATGACTCCCAATATCGCAGGGGGTGTACATCCAGTCTGTGATATTGTTTTTAATATTCAAAGGTGGAGAGGTTGATATTACTCCCAATATCACAGAAAGTGTACAAACCTGTGTACTATTGTTGCTATTATCCAGAAGAAGAGATGATATCACCCCCCCATCGCAGGAGGTGTACACCCACTCTGTGATATTTTTTCCAATGTGCAGGGCAGGGGAGGATAATACTCTTCTTCATAGCACAGGGTGTGTACAGCCCCACTGTGATATGGTCCTTAATATTCCAAGGCGGAGAGGATGATCTTACTCCCAATACCGCAGAAAGTGTACACAACCCCAGTGATACGGTTCCCATGATCCAGGAGAGAAGAGGATGATGTTACTTTCAATATCGCATGGGGTGGACACGCCCCCAGTGATATTGTTCCTAATTTCAACGTGGGAGAGGATGATACTACACGGAATGCCCCTAGGGGTAAAAACACTCCTGTGATATTGTTCTTAATATCAAGGGGAAAGAGGATGCTATTACTCCAAAGAGCGCAGAGGATGTGCACCCGTCTGCGACATAGTTGGTAATTTCCAGAGGCGGAGAAGATATTACTGACAATAACGTGAACACGCTGTGTGATCACCGTGGATCGTCATATCCAGGGGGGGAGAGGGGGGCGATGTGACACCCCGCATCGCAGGGGGTGCCCGCCCCCCTGCGACGTGAATCGTCATATCCAGAGGGGGGTGATATGACTCCCCGCATCGCGGGGGCCTCACCCCCTTGCGATGGGGGTCCTAAGAGCCAGGGGGTGATAGGGGCTGGCTCTTACTCCCCGTACCCCGGGGTGGGGCCTCAACCCCTGCGATGGGGCTCCTAAGAGCCAGGAGGGGAGAGGGGCTGGCTCTTACTCCCGGTATCGCAGGAGGTGTGTACAACCCCTGCGATATTCGGAGTAATATCATCCTCTCCCGCTGAATATAAGAAACAATATCACAGGAGGATGTACACCCCCTGCGATATTGGAAGTAACATCATTTTCTCCCCCTCCGGATATTCGGAACAATATCACAGTGAGTGTGTACAGCCCCTGCGACATTGCCGCTAGTATGTTCCTCTCCCTCCCAGGATAGAAGGAAGAATGTCACAAGGGGGTGTACATCCCCTGCGATATTGGCTGTAATATCTTCCTCTCCCCCGCTGCGCTTTAGGAGCAATGTCACACAAGGGGTGTACACCCCCGGCTATATTGGGAGTGATATCATCCTCTCCGTCCCTGGATATTAGGAACAATATCCCTAGGGAGTGTACACATCCTGCAATATTCAGACTAATATCATCCTCTCGCCGCCTGGATATTAGGATCAATATCACAAGGGTGTTGTGCACCCCCGGCGAAATTGGAAGAAATATCATCCTCTCCACCTTTGGATGTTAGGGACAGTATCACAGGGGAGGTCTCTGCCCCCTGCGATATTGGGAGTCATACCATCCGCTCCCACCCCACGATATTAGGAACAAGATGACCGAAGGGATGTACACCCACTGCGCTATTTTCAATAATGTCATCCTCTACCCCCCGGCTATTAGGAGTAACATCATAGAGGGGTGTACACTTTCTGCGATATTGGGAGTAATATCCTCTCTCCCACGGATATCGGGAACAGTTCTATTAATTATTAATATTAATAAATATAATAACAATTAATAGTAATCATCAATATTAATAATTACAGTAGAGACAGTAAAACTTAGTACGGATGAAAAACATTAATGGTTACTATAAATAATAGTAATATCACTATTAATAATAAAATAATGATATCACTAATTAATGTTACTTCAATCATAAGTGATGTTGGTAATAAAACAATAATTAATATTAAGATTAATAACTAATATAAAAAGTGACATTAATAATTAATTTTAATCATGCATAATCATATCTTGAAATAATCATTAATGATTAATAACGTTATACTGTTAATTAATATTACCATTGATAATTATTAATAAGACTGATGTTTAATAATTCAGAATATTATTACTGCTAACACCACAGAGGGTGTACACCTACCTGTGATATTGTTCCTAATATCCAGGGATGGAGAGCATGATATTAATTTTCATATCGCAGTAGGTGTACACTCACCCTGTGACACCGATCCTAATACCCAGCGGGTAGAGTATGACATGACTGCCAACATAGCAATCAATGTACAGCCACCGAGTGATATCGCTCCTAATATTCACGGAAGAAGCATATGATATTACTCCCAATATCGCAGGGAGTGTACAACTCTTCTGTGATATTCTTCCTAGTATCCCGAGGGGGAGAGAGTGATAATAATTCCAGCATCGCAGGCTGTGTTCACTCAGCCTGTGAAATTGTTATTAATATCCTGAAAGGGAGAGGATGATATTACTCCCCATAATAGATAGATATGACTCCCCATAATAGAGCAGGAGGTATACACCCACCCTGTGATATTCTTCCTAATATTCAGAGGCCGAGAGGTTGATATTACTCCCAATATCGCAGAAAGTATACACCCCAGTGTGAGATGGTCCTTCATAATATTCCAAGGCGGAGGGGGTGATATGACTACGTATATGGCAGAAAGTGGACACCCCCCAGGGATATTGTTCCCATGATCCTGGAGGGAAGAGGATGACATTACTTTCAATATCACAGAAGCTGGACACGCCCCCACTGATATTGTTTCTAATTGCAACGTGGGAGAGGAGGATATGACACGCGATATCCGAGGGAGTGGAAACACCCCTGTGATACTCTTCTTAATATTCAGGGAGGAAGAGGATGATATTACTCCCAATACAGACGGGTGTACACCCGTCTGTGAAACAGATCATAATCTCCAGACAAGGAGGTGATATTGCTCACAATATGGTAAACAGGCTGTGAGTCCACCGCGGATCCTAAAAACCAGGGGGGGAAGAGGGGCTGGCTCTTACTCCCCACATCGCGGGGGGCGCCTCGCCCCCCTGCCATGTGAATCGTCATATCCAGGGTGTGAGAGGGGGTTGATATGACTCCCCGCGTCGCGGGGGCGCCCGTCCCCCTGCGATGTGGATCGTCTTGTCCAGGGTGGGAGATGGGGGTGATATTACTCCCCGCATGGGGGGGGGGTCGCCCGCCCCCCTGCGTTGTGGATCCTCGTATCCATGTGGGGAATGGGGGGTGATATTACTCCCCGAGTGGCGGGGACGCCTGCCCCCATGAGATATGGATCGTCATATCCAGGGGAGAGAGGGGGGTGAGATTATTTCCCGCATCGAGGGGGGCCTCCGCCTCCCTGCGATGTGGGTCCTAATATCCAGGGGGGGAGAGGGGGCTTATATTACTCACCGCATCTCGGTGGGCACCCTCGCCCCCCTGCGATGTGGATCGTAATATCCAGGGTGGGAGAGGGGGGCGATATTACTGCCCGCATCGTGGGGGGTTATTAATACCTTACTCCTGGGAGATTTTCTCTACTGCCACACTTGGTTGACACCCTGGGACATTATTTTCCGTATTTTGGGAAGATGCGACTGTTAAAATCACAGGAGGGATACACCCTGCGATGTTCGTAATATTTTAGGGGAATGTTAATCCTGATTTCACAGGACTCTGTACCCTGTTGTATTATTCATAATATCCTAGCGGGACAATAAAAAGAATGTCACAATGTGTGTACACCTTGGGGTGTTATTCTTAGTCTCCTAAGGGGAAGTTAGTTTATTGTCACACGGTGTATTTTCCCTTTGATATTATTGGTAATATACTTGGGGGATGTCACTCCTTATGTCACAGGTTTTCTACACCCTGTCAAATTCCTTGTATTGTTTTTAGAAGATGTCACTCCTCATATCACAGAGGGTGTACACTCTGTGATAATATCGTCATATTCTAGGGAAATGTTACTTTTAATGTCACAGAGGGTGTACACCTTGTCAAATTTTTCGTTATAGTTTTGTGGGATGTTACTGCTAATGTCACACGGGGTGTACACACGGTGATATTACGTGTCATATTCTCTAGAAATATTACTCGTATGTCACAGGTCCTATACACCCTTTAATATTCTTCATAATATTGTAGGAATAGGTGACTACTAATGTCACAGGGCGAGTCGGACCTGTCATAAAATTCGTAATATCCTTGCGGGAGTTCACTAGTAATTTCACAATGTGTGTACACCCTTTGATATTCTTCGTATTATCCTAAGATGTTACTACTCATGTCCCAATGCAGGTACATTCTCTGATATTCTTCATTATATCCTAGGGGGATGTTACTTCTAATGTCACACGGGGTGTACTCCCTGTGTTCTATTTCGTAATGTCCTAGGACAGTTTTACTTTTAATGACTCAGGGGGTGTACACATTGTGATATGATTCGTGGTATTCTAGAAGGATGTTACTCCTAATGTCACAGGGGTGTAGACCCTGTGAAAGTATTCATAATTTTCCAGGGGTCTATACTCCTAATGTCACAGAAGATAACACCCAGTGACATTATTCATAATATTCTAGCGAGATGATACTCCTAATGTCACAGGGGGTGTACACCCTGTGATATTATTCTAAGTATTCTCGGGGGATGTTACTCTTAATGTCACACGTGTGTTCCTTCTGTGATATTATTGAAAATATGCTAGCTGGATATTACTACTAATGTCACAATGCGTGTACACCTTGTGATATTATTAGTAATATTCTGGGGGGATGTTACCCCTAACGTTACAGGGGTGTACACCATGTGATATTGTTCCCAATATTGTAGGGGGATGTTACTCCTAATGTCACGGGAGCTGTACACCCTTCGATATTATTTGTAATCTTATAGAGAGATATTACTTAAAGTATCATAGTGGGTGTACACACATGGGGTACACCCACTGGGATATTATTTCTAATATCTTCGAGAGACATAACTCCTAATATCACAGTGGGCGTACCCCATGTGTTTACACCTGTGATATTCTTTGTAATATCCATGGTAAACATGACTGCTAGTATCCCACAGAGGGTACACCCTGTGATATTATTCACCATATCTGAGGGAGGTATAACTTTTAATATCACAGTGGGTGTACAAACTGTGATATTATTTGTCAT